>NT_187382.1:300000-448248 GCF_000001405.40 Homo sapiens | reverse complement strand
GAATTCCAACTGAGAGTTAAAGTGGTGACGCATGTGACCAAGCAGAAGGCAAACTGGATGCCGGTAGAGCTGCCAACCCATGGGGAGTCCCACAGCTGGAGCAACACCACCCGCCCTGGGGAGGGGAAGATGATCCAATCATGAAGATTGTTAAGGAGTTAGCCCAGGTAGGCATTAGGAGGCCACTGCACAGTTCCTACAACAGACCTGCATGGCCCATGCAGAGGCCAGTTGGGACATGGAGAATGACAGTAGATTACTGGGAGTTAAATAAGGTGGTCTCCCGAGTGAATGCAGCTGTTCCTAATATCTCCTCCAGTCTGACGAGAATAGGAGAGGTGTTAGCCACATAGCATTTCGTTATCAGTTTAGTCAATACCTTCTTCAGCATTTCTGCTGCCCCACATTCAAGATCAATTTGCATTAACCTAAAAAGAACAATGGACTTTTACTGTCTTGTTCCAGGGATATTTACACAGCCCAACTCTCACAGCCTAGTGACCTCCAACCTCAGTTGATGGGCTGACCCAAAGGGGATACATGTTTTCCACTACATTGGTGTTATCATGGTAACTTCTGAGTCTTTTTTCAGCTTATAAATTGCAGCCCCTGTCTTGCTGTCTCACTTGCTGAACAGAGGATGGGAGGTTAATACAGACAAAATCCAGGGTCCAGGCTTATCAGTCAAATAGTTGGTGTCATCTGGTTTGGTAAAACTAAAGTCATTCCATCTGCCATCATAGATAAGGTGCGGGCTTACCCATGTCCCACCACAACAAAGCAGCTGCAAGCTTTCAAGGCCCTCTGGAGCATCAGTGTCCTTTTATTCCTTTTATTTGACATCCCTGGAGGAGGCTGCTAGGGGAGACTGTGTCCCTCCTAAATTCATGTGCTGAAGTCCCAACCCTTGGTCCTTCAGAATGAAATCATACTTGGATTAGTGTCTTTTAAAGAGCTAAATAAGTTAAAGTGAGATTCCTGGAGTGGGGCCCTAATGCAATCTGACTGTTGTTATAAGAAGGGGAAGCAGGAGGGGGGGTGCACACGCCCCGAGGGACGGCCATGTTACCACAGAACAGCGAGAAGGCGCCATCTGCACGCCAGGGAGCGAGACCTCAGAGGAAACCCACCCAGCTGGCAGCTTGATCTTAGGCTTTCATCCTCCATAAGTGTGAGGAAATTGGTTTTGTATTGTAAGCCATCCGATCTGTGGTATTTTGTCATAAAAGCCCTATAAAATGAATACAGTAGGTAATAGGAGAGCTTCTATACATTGAAAAAGTCGGATGGCCAGACAAACCTGGACACTCCTGTTCAGACCTGAGCAGGGTGATGGACCTGCTTTGGGACAGGAGAGGGGAAGAGATGAACCCAGCACCCAGACCCAGCTGAGCCCATTCCTCAGCAGGCTGTCCCTGGGCCAGAGCTTGCACAGGCATGAAAGAGCCTGTCTTGGTCTTCAGGGGCTCGTGGAGTTGGACGGAGAATGGTGTAGACTCAAGAACATGTCATCGTTGTGCCCGTGTTTATGTGAATGGGATGTGTTTCTAGGGTGTGCTCATCCCCAGAGAAGAATTAATCAGGTCTCCTGGGCTAGAAAGAGGTTGTGGCATTTGTGTGTATTAATAACTGTAGTCGGACAGTAAATTATGTTAAAATGCTTATGGGAAGGCACAATGGAAAGAAACACTTTGTTACAGAAGGGAAAAAAAGGTAATTATTCAAATGAGATGCCTTTGAAGGTCACTATGCCAAGAGGAGCCGATCGCATGATAGTGTTAGGTTTCACGTTCAGGAGATCAGGAGGGTCCGTCTGCTGGCTTTTATGATACCCTAGACAGAGCTGAGAGTATAATGTATGAATGGAGGGGAGTGGAGAAAGGGGAGGCCAAATGTTTGATGGGAATGGAGGGTCACTATTGGAGCCATTAGGAAATACACAAGCATGATTTGTGCTGAAGCACAGAACAGTGTTCCTGGGGAATATTGTGTTGCTTTGGGAGCTGCTGAACATACAGGAGTTTCACTGTTCTTAGTTCTCGAATTCTCTAGACTCTCTTGACAGCCCAATTTTAAATATTGGGAATATAGGTAAGACACATTCATGGTTAAAAATTCTTAAGTGAAGATGTAGGAAGAAATTTAAAGTAATCAATTTAGGTTATGAAAATTTAGTTATGGTGAACTGTGATGTCTGTTTCTCACATGGAATAATGGAATATAAGTAATTACTCATCTCAGTGGTTCATTTTCCCATAGCCATCAATTACAAAACTGCTGGATAATTTCCTGAATTGTCCACCCTAGAAGTTGACCTCACATTACCTCAGTGAGAAACCGCTAGTCTGGTTGATCCAGCCTCATTCTTCCCATCAGGAATTTTGTGTCTCTGTGCACATATGGCATAGTCCTGGTCAGGGTGGCAGAGGGAAGGAACTGAAGAGGGCATTGTCAGACCATTCTTCAGAGGAGGAGTGGAGAAGAATTGTGTCCCATTTCCCAGTTGGCTGTGTATCTGCATATGGCCTCGGGATTGCTGCCAGCCTATCCATGCATGATGAAGCTTATTTAGGGGACGAAGCCAGCATGCTGAGTGTTCAGTGCCGACAGCCAAGAGAATCAACTGCCTGGTGCATGCTGCTTTTATGAAAACAAGCCCAGGGCCACTTGCATTCTTCTGTATTAGATTCTCTAGTGAAGTTGTTTCTTCATTTCTGCTGAAACTGCCACATATAATTACCTAGAGGCATTACAATAAACTGATTGAGAGTTAACTGACTTCCTGGTGAGGTTAAAATGAGTGTCAGGTGCACAGTAAGACAGACAGGAGACATGGGAGCATAGCAAGCTTGTGTTCACCATGGTTTGTACCTTAACTTCTGTTTTGTACCTTCTGTACCTTCCTTAGATGTTCAGGCACTCCATTGAGGAGCCTGACAGAACATTATTTATTGATGGACCATAGCTCAAAATATAGAAATGGATATTACCGAGGAGAATATACTGTTACTACTTTATCTTTATCTTAAAATATACTCTTCCATCTGAGGTGAAAATTAATCCAGATGGTAGAACTTATTGCAGTTACTACAGCATTTTAGGAAATCAAAAGCTGCAGAACAAACATATGGACAGATGGCAGGTATGTTTTTGGAATCGTAAACAACTTTGCGATGATTGTAAAACCAAGGGGTGTCTCACAAGGGCTGGAAACCTCTCAAAATGAAACAACACACTGAGGATCTTTGAGAAGTACTCTGACCTCCAAGCGAGCTGGCTGATATGGAGGCTGAGCTACATGTAGAAAGCCAAAGGAATTTCTGCAGGACATCATCATGCCAAGCACAGCAGTAAACTGAGTCCCAGCCCTTTTCACACGCTCAATGGTTAGATCTTGGGAAGGAATCAAAGAAGCCATTGTAAAATATCAAAATTTAAACCCTGATTTTGAATTTAAAATGTGTTAACATATGGTTGTGGCCTACACTCAGAAAATCTGTCTCCTTCAGATGGTGTCTCAGTAGCACCACATGGTTTCAAGTGGCTATTCATTAAATTTCTCCATGAAACTACCAGATACAGAATAGATAAATTGTCACTGTCTTAAATCAACCCTTGGGAAAGGAAAACTGTGTAAAGACAGCAGAGAGGAAACATTGTTCAAGGGAAAAACAATCTCCAGAAACTGTTGTTAAAGAAACAGAGGCCCTCTTTCCAGCCAGTGCCGAGCGATGGACATCTCTTGGGACAACTGGCACAAGTGCCACAAAACCAGGGACAAGAGAAAGCCCTACCACAAGAAGCGGAAGTATGAGTTGGGGCACCCAGCTGCCAACACCAAGACTGGCCCCCGCCGCATCCACACAGTCCGTGTGTGGGGAGGTAACAAGAAATACTGTGCCCTGAGGCTGGACGTGAGGAATTTCTCCTGGGGCTCAGAATGTTGTGCTCATAAAACAACGATCATCGATGTTGTCTACAATGCATCTAATAACGAGCTGGTTCGTCCCAAGACCCTGGTGAAGAATTGCATTGTGCTCATTGACAGCACACTGTACCGACAGTGGTACGAGTCCCACTATGCGCCGCCCCTGGGCTGCAAGAAGGGAGCCAAGCTGACTCCTGAGGAAGAAGAGATTTTGAACAAAAAGCGATCTAAAAAAATTCAGAAGAAATATCATGAAAGGAAAAAGAATGCCAAAATCAGCAGTCTCCTGGGGGAGCAGTTCCAGCAGGGCAAGCTTCTTGCATGCATTGCTTCAAGGCCAGGACAGTGTGGCTGAGCAGATGGGTATGTGCTAGAGGGCAAAGAGTTGGAGTTCTATCTTAGGAAAATCAAGGCCCGGAAGGGCAAATAAATCCTTGTTTTGTCTTCACCCATGTAATAAAGGTGTTTATTGTTTTGTTCCAAAAAAAAAAGAGAAACAGAGGCATCACACTTACTAGAAAAACATATTCTATTTCATATATTATGGTGGTATGACGTGATGTTTTGACATATGCAGGCATTGTGAAATTATTAAATCAAGTAAATAAACATGCCCATCACCTCACATACTTATTTTTTATGGTGTAAACGTGTAAAATCTACTCTATTATCAGTTTTCAAGTATATAGTACATTAGTACCATGGAAGTCACCCTGCTGTGCAATAGATCTTCAAACTAATTCCTTCTGTCAAACCAAAACTCTGTACCCTTTCACCAATGCCTCAGCTTTCACATGCCCCTGACACCAGCCCCTGGTTGGCACCATTCTTCTCTCTACTTCTCTGAGTTCAACATTTTTAGATTGCATGTGTAAGTGAGATTATGGAGTAATTTTTTATACCTGGCTTATTTCACTTAACATAAAGAGTCAAATGCTCAACATCACTAATCATCAGGGAAATGCAAATTAAAACCACGATGAGATATCACCTCACACATGTTACAATGGCTTAGTCTCAGTCTGTCTTTGTGTTACTATAACCGAATACCAGAGACTGGGCAATTTCTAAAGAAAAGGAATTTATACTTTATGGTGCTTGAGTCAGAGAAGTCTAATATCAAGGCACTGACATCTCACAAGGGCCTTCTCACTGTGTCGTCTCACAGCAGAGGTGGGTGAGCAAGAGATCATTTGTCCACGAGAGAAAGGAGACTATCTTTTATTAGAAATTCACTCCTGTAATAACTAACCCACTCCAATGACAGTGACATTAATCCATTCATGAGGACAGAGCCTTCATGACCTAATCACATAATAAAGGTCCCACCTCTCAACACTGTTGCATTAAAGATTTTTTCCAAATCCTAAACTTTGGGAGACACATTTAAGTCATAGCATTCCATTCCTAATATCAAAATTTATGTCCTTATCACAATGCAAACTACATTCATTCCATCCCAATTGTCTCCAAAGTCTTATCCAGCATCAGTGCAAAAGTCTGAAGTCTAAAGTCTCATCTAAATCAGATGTGAGTGTGACTCAAGGCACAATTTAGCCTGATATAAATTTTTTCCATCTGTGAGCCTATAAAGTCAAAACAAGTTATCTACTTTCAAATACAGTGAACAATGGGGCAGGTATGGGATAGAAATTCCCATTCCAAAGCTCAGAGACAGGGAAGGAGAAAGCAGTGCCTAGTTCAAAACCCAACAGAGGAAAAAAACATTAAGTCTTATAGCTGAGACTTAATGTTTTTTTCCCTTGTTGGGTTTTGAACTAGTTCAACCATTGTAGAAGTCCTTGTGGTGATTCCTCAGGGATCTAGAACTAGAAATACCATTTGACCCAGCCATCCCATTACTGGGTATATACCCAAAGGACTATAAATCATGCTGCTATAAAGACACATGCACACATATGTTTATCGCAGCACTATTCACAATAGCAAAGACTTGGAACCAATCCAAATGTCCAACAACGATAGACTGGATTAAGAAAATGTGGCACATATACACCATGGAATACTATGCAGCCATAAAAAATGATGAGTTCATGTCCTTTGTAGGGACATGGATGAAATTGGAAATCATCATTCTCAGTAAACTATCGCAAGAACAAAAAACCAAACACCGCATATTCTCACTCATAGGTGGGAACTGAACAATGAGAACACATGGACACAGGAAAGGGAACATCACACTCGGGGGACTGTTGTGGGGTGGGGTGAGGGGGGAGGGATAGCTTTAGGAGATATACCTAATGCTAAATGACGAGTTAATGGGTGCACACACCAGCATGGCACATGTATACATATGTAACTAACCTGCACATTGTGCACATGCACCCTAAAACTTAAAGTATAATAAAAAAAAGTCTTATAGCTGGAAAATCATCCTCTTTGACGGCATCTTGTGCACACTGGGGAGGGGGAAGGGCCCCCAAGGCCTCCAGCAGTCTTGCCTCTATGGATTTTCTGGGTTCAGTCCACTCAGCCCCTCTCACAGGTGGGACTCTCAGGCCTCTAGCTCTCCTAGGCTGACTGGAAACTCTTTGTGGTGCCTCCAAACCCATATTTCTGCTTGGCATTGTGCTAAGGGTCCACTGTGGTGACTCTGTCTCTGCAACAACTCACTGCCCGAGACCTTAGGCTGTCCACAGCATTCTTTGAAATCTAGGTGGAGAAAGCCATGCCCTCGTGGTATTCTGCACACCTGCAGAATTAGCAATACATGGATGCCATGGAAGTTGATGACTTGTACCATTAAAGTGATGGCTTGAGCCACACCTAGGTCCTCCTGAGCCACATCATGGGCAGCCAAGGAGTGCTGTGCCTGGACACAGGGAACAGAGTCCTAAAGTGCCTGCTAGAAGTGAGGCCATAGATTTGCTTCAAATTTCTCCCACCATATATCCTCACTCATGGCTCTGAACTTCCACTTTACAGAAAGACCTAGGGATGAGCACAATTCAGCCACATTCCTTGCCACTTTAAGGGAAGGATGGCCTTTGCTCCATTTTCCGATGAGCTATTCTTCTTTTTCTCCTGAGACCTCATCAGAACGGCCTTTATTGTCCACGGTTCTACCAACATTCTAATGATCATCACCTAAATAATCTCTAAGAAGTTTCAGAATTTCCTCACAGCTGTCTTCTTCTGAGTCCTCAAAAGAATACCCCTAGTGTTCTAGTCATGGCAATCTAGACTTTTTATAACCTGATCCTCCAAATTATTCCAGTCTCTGTGCATTACTACTTCCACTTCTACATTTTGGGATATTTGTTATCACAACAGCCCCACCTCTTGATACTGATTTTTTGTCTTAGTCCACTTTGTGGTGCAATGAGTGAATACCACACACTGGCTAATGTGTAAGGAAAAGAAATTTATTTTCTCCCAGCTCTAGAGGCTGGGAAGTCAATGTCAAGGTGCTAGCATCTGGCAAGAGCCTTCTTGCTGTGATGCCCATGTGGAAGGCAGGAGAGCATGTGCAAAGGATGGAAAGGGGGCTAAACTCATTTTTTAATGAGGAACCCAGGCCTGTAGTAACTAATCTGCTACCACAATAAGTAACCTACTCTGATGATAATGGCATTAATTGCTTCATGAGGGCAGAGCCCTCTCGGCCTAATCATTTCTTAACATTCTCACCTCTGGACACTATGGAATTTGGGATTAAGTTTCCAATACACACCCTTTCTAAACAGCAGGGGCTTTTTAATAGGTTTACCACCCAAGGCTGCAGGAGGCTCTGAAGTAGTGGGTGGCTGTCCTTTGTGAGAATGGAGAGAAGTGAACTGACTGATGGAGACACAAGTAGATGAAGTAAAGGCATTCATTGCTTCATTACATGGATGGTGAGGGCGATTGAAGGCATTAACGGATTAAAGATGGTGGCAAAACCATCTGAGGTGGAGACCACGGGGAGCCCATCAGAAATGGAGGACACGTCCCAATAAATGGTGCTTCATTTCCCTGCAAAGCAGATGAAAGCAAAGAAGAAAACACAATGCCATAGTGTACACTGAGCAGTGGATTGAGAGAAGAGTTTCCTAAGGCGTAACTGACAGAGTGGAGAAGACACACGAATCTTTGCATGGTGCTAACATTTGGACTGTGGCTTCATTATTTCTTATTAATATTTTACTGAAATATCACTAGAAGGAGACTGAAAATGAAGTGTGAAAAGTTAAATGGGATTTCTGCTCTAAGTCCTTTTCAGATGAGAGGAACTGGGGAATTCCAGGGAAGAAACAATAATAGCTGCTGAGCAAGGCTTTTGCAGGGCAGGACAAGGAATCCCCAAAGAGAAAACGGAAACCTCAGCTTCACTTTGCATCTGCTCCTGAGCCAGGTCTTGAGCGACCCCTGTAGGTCCTGAGCGCCCCCGGTAGGTTCTGAGCATTCCGTGGTTGCTGGGCGCCCTCTGGTGGTGTCTGAGCCCTTCTGGTGGTTTCTGAGCCCCCCTCTTAGAGTCTGAGCCACCCTATTAGTGTCTGAGCCACCCTATTAGTGTCTGAGGACCCTGGTGGTGTCTGAGCACAGGTGAGCTCCTCTGAAGGAAGGGTCTACATGGGGACAGGCGTGCTTGTCTCAGGGAAGGGTCCACATGGGGACAGGTGAGCTCATCTGAGGGAAGGGTCCATGTGGGGACAGGTGTGCTTGTCTGAAGGAAGATTCCACATGGAGACAGCTGTGCTTGTCTCAGGGAAGGGTCCACATGGGGACAGGTGAGCTCGTCTGAGGGAAGGGTCCATGTGGGGACAGGAGTGCTTGTCTCAAGGAAGGGTCCTCACGTGGACAGGTGTGCTCTTTTGAGGGAAGGATTGACCTGGGGACAGGCATGCTTGTCTGAGGTAAGGGTCCACCTGGGGACAGGTGTGATTCCCTCAGGGAAGGGTCCACGTGGGGACAGAGGTGCTTGTCTAAGGCAAGAATCCACGTAGCGACAGGTGAGTTCGTCTCAGGGAGGGGTCCAGGTGGGGCGAGTTGTGCTTATCTGAGAGAAGCATCGAAGTGGGGACAGGTGTGCTTGTCTCAAGGAAGGGTCCACGTGGGGACAGGTGTGGTAGTCTCAGGGAAGGGCCCACATGGGGACAGGTGTGCTCATCCGAGAGAAGGGTCCATGTAGGGACAGGTGTGCTTGTCTCAGGGAAGGGTTCATGGGGACAGGTGAGCTTGTCTGAAGGATGGGTCCACATGGGGACTGGTGTGCTCCTCTGAGGGAAGGGTCCACGTGGTGACAGGTGAGTTTATCTGAAGGAAGGGTCCACATGGGGACAGTTATGCTCCTCTGAGGGAAGGGTCCATGTGGGGACAGGTGTGCTTGTCTCAGGGAAAGGTCCACGTGGGGACAGGTGTGCTCGCCTTGGGGAAGAGGACAGATGAGCTCATCTCAGGGAAGGGGCCACGTGGGGACAGGTGTGTTTGTCTCAGGGAAGGGTCCACATGGGTACACCTGTGCTCCTCTGAGCAAAGAGTCCACATGGAGACAGGTGTGCTTGTCTGAAGGAAGGGTCCACGTGGGGACAGGTGTGCTCCTCCAAGGGAAGGGTCCATGTGGGGACAGGTGTTCTTGTCTCAGGGAAGGGTCCACGTGGGGACAGGTGTGCCCCTCTGAGGGAAATGTCCACGTGGGGACAGGTGTGCTTGTCTCAGGGAAGGGTCCACGTGGGGACAGGTGTGCTCGTGTGGAGGAAGGTTCCACCTGGGGACAAGTGTGCTTGACTCAGGGAAGGGTCCACTTGGGGACATGTGTGCTTCTCTCAGAGAAGGGTCTACGTGGGGACAGGTGTACTCATTTGAGGGAAGGGTCCACGTGGGGACAGGGGGGCTCATCTGAAGGAAGGATCCACGTGGGGACAGGTGTCCTTGTCTCAGGGAAGGGTGCACGTGGGGACAGATGTGCTCATCTGAAGGAAGGATCCACGTGGGGACAGGTGTGCTCCTCTCAGAGAAGGGTCCACGTGGGGACAGGTGTGCTTGTTTGAGGGAAGGGTCCACCTGGGGACAGGTGTGCTCGTCTGAGGGAAGGGTCCACCTGGGGACAGGTGGGGTCATCTCATGGAAGGGTCCACGTGGGGACAGATGTGGGAGAGGGTGTGCCTGGTCTGAACTGGAGTTTGAGGGAAGAATTTCTCGAGCAAGTGTGAATCCTGAACATGACCTGTTTTTCAGGAAGGAAAGCAGACCACATGGAAGCAGATGAAGGAAAAAGCAGACCACGTGGGAGCCGGATGAAGGGAAGGTTTCTATGAAATTGAAACAGCCTATCTGCCAGTGGAGAAAGTTATTTCATCCTTTTTTGCCTGCAGTGAGAAAGGGGGAAATCAGAGCCACAGAGAAGAGAATGAAATGTCCCTGAGGACATCTGAGAATTAGAGAAAAGAAAGCCTCAGATTCTAAGGAGAAGTCCTCGCCACTTCCCATCTGAGCCTGCTCTTCAGTGGACCCAAGTGTCGAGTGCATCCTGCACATCTCAGGCCCCCAGGAGGGAGGGTCCTGTCTGGGTTCACACGGCATCCCCTCACTGTGTCTCCCACAGGAATACCTGGCTGTCCTGTGGGTTCCTGGAGCTCCGCCGCAGGGAGCGCTGCTTGTTGGATGAGTCTCTGGATGGAGATGAGGCTCTTGAGAGGCGGCGGTTGTTCGTGTTTCTCTTATAATCGATGCTCCTCAGCCAGTGCAACCCCTTGTCTAGGGGCCGGTGGACCGGGCCTCCGCAGTAACCACTGGCTGTGATGGAGAATCCGGAGTCGTGCCAGGTGAGGAAGGGGGCAGCCACGGCTTCTCCAGTCTTGAGCCTCACTCCTGCTGCTGCACCTGGGACAGGACAGCTGGGAACAAGAACAGTCAGTCCCTGTCAGTCATGGGACATCACAGTTATTGCCACAGCCCGTGTCTGGCCTCTGAGATGCTCACCTTCGGGAGGTGTCAGCAGGCACAGGAGAAGGCCCAGCAATCTCATCTTCTTCTGAACCCACCTTTGTCTTCCCCAGAGACACCGTCCCAGTCTGAGAAGTGACTGGATGCTTCCACAGCCCAGGGGTGGATTTTACCCCAGAGCTAAAACAAAAAATTACACGGGGTGGATGACTATTTATTTATTTATTTATTTAGAGACAGAGTCTCGCTCTGTCGCCCAGGCTGGAGTGCGGTGGTGCAATCTCGGCTCACTACAACCTCTTTCTCCCGGGTTGAAGCGATTCTCCTGCCTCAGCCTCCCTAGTAGCTGGGATTACAGGTGCCCAGCAGCATGCCTGACTAATTTTTGTAATTTTAGTAGAGACAGGGTTTTGTCACTTAGCCAGGCTGGTCTCAAACTCCTGACCTCATGTGATCTGTCTGCCTCGGCCTCCCAAAGTGCTGGGATTATAGGCATGAGCCACCGTGCCCAGCCTAGCTGACTCTTTTTATAAGTAGAAAAGTTAAGATATGGCCCCTACCTCCTGGTAGTTGAGCGTTGTGTAGAGTGCCTTTCCTCCTAAACTCATGTGGCACGCATGTCACTTGACATTTGGTGGTTGGAGGACACTTGGTCTGCGAGACAAATGGGAATAGGCAAAGGACAGCCCTGCCATTCTGATCCCAGGGCTACTTTCCTTCCAACCCCTCTTCCCTCCTGCCCTTCCTTGTTTCTAGCGCAGCTCCCCCTATCCACAGGCCCAGGTCTTGCTTCCTCAGTGCTGAGCCCAGCACAGCTCCTGGGCTCTTTCCTTGGGTCCCACCTGTGGTGTGGCTCTCCTCACCCATGGAGCTTTGGACAACATCACATTACTGTCTCAGGAGCTCTACGCCAGCCCTGCACTCTAACCCATTCTGTGATGCCAGAGACAAGGACCTCAGGACCTACCGGGGCTGGATAAAATAATGTTCTTTGATTTACTCAGGAACTAATTCTCAATAGTTGGGGGAAGAGACAGACACATCCCTTTTTAAGTACTCCATTATCCAGACATTTAAAATGCATCTAAAGTGTGAGGATTTCTACTCTAAATGCATCTCTTCCTCTTGTTCTCTTGAGGCTATTCCTGTATATGAATTACTCATTACCTCAACTCATTACTGATAACACTTTTTTTGGAAATTCATTCATAATAAATAATATGAAAGCAGTACCAATGTCCTCATATACAACTTTTAAAGTTTGTATTGTGATAAGAATACCTACCATGAGATACACTCTCTCAGCAAATTTTTAAGTGTACTGTGCAGTCAAGTTATCTAGACTCAGGATTCTGTGCATCCAGTCTCCAGAACTTATTCATCTTGCAGAACACCAATTTTATACACACAAATTAGCAACTTACAGCTGTTTTGTTTTGGTTTTGTTTTGATTTTGGGGGGCAATTTTTAGGATTTTCTACATACAAGACATGTCATCTGTAAACAGTGACACCTTTACTCCTCTCTTTCTGATTTAGTAACTTTTTCTTGCCTAAGTTCTCTGACTAGGACTTACAATACTATGTAGAACAGAATTGGTGAGATAGGGCATCCTTGTCTTCTCCATCATCTAAGTGGAAGCTTGTTCAGTGTTTCAGCATTGGCTATGATGCTAACTGTGGGCTTTTAAATATGGCTTTCAATATGTCCAGATAATTTCCCTTTATTTGTAGTTTGTTAAGAGGTTTTATCATGGAAAGATGTTGAAATTTGTCAAATGATTTTTATGCATCTGATGAGATAATATTTTAGTCTTTCATTATGTTAATGTGGTCCATCAGATTCAGTGATGTTTAGATGTTGCACCATCCCAATATTCCAGAGAGACATTCCACTGGATCATGGCAAATGATCCTTGTAATGTGCTGTTCAGTTTGATTTGCCAATATTTTGTTGAGTACTTTTTGCATCTTTGTGTTTCAGTAAGAGTGGTCTGTAATTTATGTTAATTTGGTGTTTGCCTGGTTTTGATTTCAGGGCAATGCTGACTTTATAAAATAAGTTTAGAAGTATTTCTTCATCTTAAAACTTTTGGGAGGTCGAGATGGGTGGATCACAAGGTCTGGAGATCGAGACCATCCTGGCTAACAAGGTGAAACCCCATCTCTACTAAAAATACAAAAAATTAGCCGGGCATGGTGGTGGGCACCTGTCATCCCAGCTACTCAGGAGGCTGAGGCAGGAGAATGGCGTGAACCTGAGAGGTGGAGCTTGCAGTGAGCAGAGATCATGCCATGCACTCCAGCCTGGGCAACAGAGCGAGACTCCATCTCAAAAAACAAACAAACAAACAAACAAAAAAACTTTTGGAAGTGGTTCCAAGCTCGCTTTCGATTACTGATTCAGTCTTTTACTAGTAATAGTTCTGTTTCTACTTTTTCAAGATTCAATCTTGGAAGATTGTACATATCTAGGAATTTATCCATTTCTTCTATGTTATCCATTGCTGAGTATACAATTTATTTTTAGTAAGCTCATGAGATAAATGGCCAAACATTAAAAAACGGAGTGAGGGAGTCAGGGACAGACAGGAGACAGTTGAAAGAAAGAAAAATACATTTCAGTCTCCTAGAGTTAGAAGGAATTCTAGAAGGTTTTGTTTAAGATAACAAAAGTGTAGGAATTCCTTATGCTGTGGCTGGGGGCATCCTGGAGAGATGCTGCTGCCTGGAGGCCCAGGCCCCTTCCTGTCCTGGCTCATCATCAGGCTCAGAGGAACTCGAGACCTTAGGGAAAGAGGAGCAATAGAGGGGAAATATTAGCATAGGTTCCAAAAATGAAAAGGAACTAAATAATCATGAAACTACATATAGATATTTTATATAAATGTAATTATTATAAAATTATAATAGTATATTTCTAATATAATTATGACAGTATTATAATTATTTATATAATTATAACAGTATTATAATTATTTATATAATTATATATCACTTTGGTATATATAATGTATATATATAACTAAATTTAAATAAATGTCCATCATTTGACCAATTAGAAATCCAAAGTTTATATACAAAATTCTGTACTGAAATAACTTCTAAGACAAAAATTGAAAATGAAGCTGGTTGGCTTCGTGCCCCTCTACACTACAGGTTCTAGAGAGGGGAATCTAGATCCTGCAGCAGGCAGAAGAATGCCCCCCAAAGATGCCCATGCCATAGTCCTGGGGCTCTACAAAGACATCACCTGCAGGGCCAAAGGGACTGGGCTGACGTGATAGAGGCCCTTGGATGTTACAGTCACCCTGGCCTGTGCATGCCATATGCCCTGGGGTCCTGATGAGGAGAAAGAGGAGCAGCAGAGTCCAAGACTGGGGAGGTGTGGGATGGAAGCGGAGGTCAGTCACACAGCCACCAGCCGGGGAACGCAGGCGCCCCTAGGAGCTGGCAAAGGCAAGAGATAGATTCTCCCAGATAACTCTAGAAGGAAGCAGCATGGCTGGTGCTCAAGTCTTTAGTTCTGTGAAACGCCTTCCAGACTCTGACCTTGGAACTGTATACTGGTCCATTGTAATTTCACTTTAGCATTTTTGGGATTGCACCAATTGGCAAACTTTGTGATCAATACCAGGGCTCCAATAATAGCTATACCTAGGAAATTCATTAGATTTCAAGATTTAAACATGTATCCCATGTGAACTTAAGATAATTAAATAGAAATCAATATATTTGGAAGAAGAAATAGACACACCGCACTTTAGCGGTTGCCTTGCCTAGATTTCACATGATCATAATGTCCTTTGTCCTAAAATATCTCATATTGGGCATACACTCTGACACAATGAATTAAATTAAAATGGAATGAGGTGTTTGGCACTTGTGCATTGGCTTGATAAAATGGAACTCAAAGAGTTCCAGTTTATGTAGTTAATATATTCCAACAGAAGTGAAAATGGACCTTCGAAGATTAAAAACTATTATACAAATCTAATCAATAAAGAGGTGATTTTTCCCATTGCTTCTCTATTTCACAGCCAAATCTTGCCTGTTCTTAAACCGGTGAAGAAGAAAAGACAATAGCATGAAGGTTGCCCTATGTTGGATTGTCACAACTTTCATGCCGTGGCCCCACCCATTAGGGCCCCATACTCCCAATGTTCTCAAAACGACTGGCTTTAACCAACAGCCAGTGCAGACTTTGCTCTTCCAGATGTGTCTAATTGGTTGTACTCAGCGCCCATCTCAGCAGCCCCTTAGCTGCAGATTGTCTTTGCCTGGGAAGGACACCCTTCTCAGGATACGCGGGCACCTCAGCGGCGTGGCCACCACATGAGAGCTTCGCAGGCTGGCTCCTCACTGCATCTGCCTTCCTCCGCAGCACTGCTGACACCTCCTCTGAGGAGATGCTCCCCATACTTTCATTAAGGACATACAAATGCCACATCCTGCTGTTCCTTGTGGGTTCTGGTGCAACATATTCCTCACCCATAAATTTCAACTAGCCTCGCTGTTGTTGCTACTTATAAATCACCTCCCCTAAATGAAATTTCCTTCAACAAAAGGCTCAACAGTGTGCCTAATTTAAAATCAACAGGCTCTTCTGTTAGTATCCTCAGAAACTCCTTCACTAAAGAAACTTGGCAAACCCTTCTCATGCCTCCTGGTGTCTCTGGGCGATCAATGTGGCCTTAAGATGCTCGACAGTTTCCAAGGCAAGTAACTGCTCCCTTTGGCCTTGGACTATAAATCATTCAACTGAACATTGCTGTCTACAACCTGGACTATTTGGACACATCCAGCTAACTATTGTGTTTGGGGTCACGGGAACAGCACCCCACACACTTAGCATGGCTCCAGAGGCCTTCTTAAGACAGGATAAAGCAACACCCAGGCCCTCTGTCATTTCTGCTTGCAGCAGGACTGGCTTCCTATATCCACAGTCACCTGGCAGGTGCCCAAGTGCTGGAGGAGGCCACCTCTCGGCCACATGGGAAGAACGCTGGGACTCACTGAGTGGACAGTGACTGGCATTTGCGGGCTGCAAGGATGACAAGTGATGGGGCTTGGGGCATGCTTCTGCTCTCCCTCTCTTGGCCATATGTCCCAACAAAGGATGGGGCTGGGGATCCCCAAAATTAGGCAGACATCAGGCAGTCACACCAGCATTGGGTGCCCTATCGAACCAATGGCTCCATTTCCACATTTATTATAAACAGCTCAGACGTTGTTTAAGAGCTGTCTTCAGGGTAAGGAAATCTGAAAGTCTCTTGCCTCCCAGACACTGAAAATATAAATCAAGTGGCTCATATCTCTGCACATAATAAGTTCACAATACGAGGCTTTGGTGGGACACTAATGTCCTTCAAAATTGCATACTTTGCTGACAGTAACCAAGTCACACATTTTACTTTTCAAAACACACAATGCTGGATACAGAAAAAGCCACTTGATAGAACTTCATGCCTCTTAGGCCCCATTCAATAGAACTTAATTATGGGCTGGTTTAACTCAGAGACATACTGATCTCCTCAAACAATTCCTTCAAATTCCACTCCAGTAAATGGACACCCAATGGATCTCCAACTTCTGTAGAACTAACTCTCCCTAAATTCAAGGCTCTTAGCTGAGTCGCCCTCATCCCAGCTTTCAGGACTTCTCCATCACCCTTTGAGATACTTATAGGCTTATATTCATTGCATTATTGAGGCTATTTAAAATATTATTTCCATATCTTTACAAATGTTTGATGTTGCTCTTATCTCATAAGGGCTGGAGAACCTATTGAGGGTAAAAACTCTCCTCGGATGATTAGCCATAGAGGGTCCCGTGGGTCAGTCGGCTGCTCATCTGATATGAGCCCATTTGAACGTAAAGTTCCACAAAAACAAACTCAAAAAACAAATGAAAACAACATCAACACCTGCCAACTGCAGCCAAGCACCCCTCTGTTGACTGCTGGTCTCACCATTGTCCATGTGGCTGCTTGTATTGTGGACTTATTTGTTATAATCCAAAGGGCAGAAACCTCCAAATAGGCCATCACTTCAACCAAACACGGCAAGTGCTGATAGCCAGTCAGTCCGCTTGAGCACATGCCCACCTGGAAAGGACACCCTAGTACCCCATCCTAGAGCACATCGGCCTGGCCCAGGGCTCAAAGCTGGAGGTGGCTTTGGCTTTTCCCCGGCGAGCTGGAGACAGTTGTGCCCTAAACCTTAACACCAGTCATGGCCTGGGAAGTCTCTCAATGAAACAATAAGGCATTGGACATGCCTTGCTTTTGTCCCTTGGATACTAGGGATCCTATTGTGCTCCCTGAGCTTGCTGTCCATTTGGTCCAGGATCCCAGTGCACTCCTTGCTGTTTGCCACAACATGCTACACTACATTTCTGTTCATACAGAGAAATCTGATAGTGGTTACTACCATCTCTGTCAGTCTGAAAATCAGCAGAGGTCATTGCTGCACACAAAGGAACCTGCCTCATATCCATCAACCCTTTGACACCATGAGGAGAGAACCACCCACTCCCCAGTAACTTTTCCCACTCCCAACCCGCATCTCTGAACTACGACCACCACCAACACTTCCACCTTTTGATTACCACTAATCTTGAGAAATAATTTACTAACCCATCCATCCATGCACTCCAACAATGTGACTAGAGGACCTGCCACCTTGACCCAAGAAAGACACCAAAATATTATTGTTAGAAAAATACATGCATAAAGAAATTTATAACTGCACCAAGACATTGTTTGCGACCCCAGCTGTCTCAGACCAGGTTTCTTGGCTGTCATACAAATGGGAAACCTATTTATGGGCTGGCTGGCAGCGACTCTTGATACTTCTACTTGTGTTCCTCCTCTCTACTCTCACAGTAAAATGTTTTCTATATCCTTTAGGGCAACTGATGTAGCCACACTCTGTAAACTCTTCAGCATCAACACTCCAAAAATTCCTTCACATGACATGAAACCATCAGAGGTTGGGTTGGGTTAATCCTGTGTCCTTATTCTCCGTGTTTATGATACTCTGACATCTTGGAGTCTTGTGGAACTGGGGAGGAAAAGCCTGTCCCAGGATTACTTAATTTCTAGAAGAAACACTTGCTGGTGAGCACACCTTTCCTGTGCAAACCAGGGCATACGGGCCCATTCTCCCCACCTGTTTATCTGACTCACACAACAAGCCAACATTTCCTCTGCCCTAAACCCCCAAGGGGCAGGTACAGGACAAGGAGAGATGGCTCCAATAGGCCAGAGCCCATCGCGTTTTTCAGCATCCCATGCCATGCCGGTTGGAAGCTCGTCCACCCGCCTCCCTCATCCCTTCCCCTGGAAGCTGAAGAAGGCTGTGCTGCTGCCGCCTCCCTGCTCCCCTTCAGGGCTTTCTGGGCAAGGCTTACAGTTCCAGGAGGATCCAGCCCCCCGTG
This sequence comes from Homo sapiens, assembly GCF_000001405.40. NCBI lineage: Eukaryota > Metazoa > Chordata > Mammalia > Primates > Hominidae > Homo > Homo sapiens. Next base: position 429,996 of record NT_187382.1, on the reverse strand, counting down.
TGGAGGTGCTCTCCAGGTCCTGAGACTTCAGTGCAAGATGAAGGTGTGCTTTGCACGTGGGAGGCCTCAGTCATAAGCAGGGAAGGTCCAGGGGAGGCCTCAGTTTCTGATTCAGGAGCTGGAGAAGGAGGAGGCCTTATCTGCTCCCAGGAATGACCCTCCCTCTTCTGAGTGCCCCGCCATCTGGGGCTCCAGGTCAGAGAAGTGCCAGCCACAAGAGGGAACTTGGAAGGTGTGGAAATGAATTCTGCTCTCAGGAGAAAACCCCACTGATGAAGACATGCTTGCCTTTTCCTTCTCTCCTCCTGGGCACCCTTGCCCTAGGGCCCGCCTCTCCCTTCATCCCCCTGAGGGAACTTTGAGCAGAGTGTGGGCCCAGAGGCCACAGGTCAGGGACATGAGCTCAGCGCTATGGGGATGCACAGCCTTGGGCAGTCAGTGGATGCTTCCTGGTGGGGCCTCGCCTCTGAATGGCCACATGAGTCATTCCTGCCCTGGACAGTAGAGAACCCGAGCAGAGGATGGCCCTCCCAGCAGGATTTGACTGTGAGCATTCCGTGAGCATAGCTCATTTCTCAGAGCTGAGAGGGTGGTCCTGACTGGCTTGCGCCCTCCCAGTGCACCTCTGTGTCCTCTCCACGCTGCCTGCCTCCCCAGGGCCTGGGCAGCCCCTACCTCCTGCTGATTTCCCTCAGCCCAGCTCCTGCTCGGGGGGAGCCCTGCAGAGCCCTCACTGGGCACCTCTCTCAGAGGCACTGGGCCCCACAGGTAACTGAGCAGGTGCAGCCATCGCTCAGTACAGCTCCTGGGGACAGGTCAGGTGGGTTAGGCTGGGGCTCTGGTGAGGTCAGGCCACACCACCCAGGGGAGACAAGAGCTGAGACACCTCACTTCCCATGTCTCTCTTTTCACGTCTCTTAGGGCAGTCTTCCCCCAGCTGTGTAGCTCAGGAAGAACTCTCAGGGTTCATGTGGAGAAAGAGGCTGTGACCACCCCAGAGGCCTCTTCTCCAGTGAGAAGCAGGGGGACACCCCGGAGGAGCAGACATTCTAAGGCTGCCCGTGAGCCCTGCAACTGGCTCTGTTCCCAGCAGGGAGGTGGAGAGGATGCCACTCAGGAATCACCTCGGAGCCCCGAGAAGAGGGAGGTCTAGATGTTGATTTCTTGGGAAAGGGCTGTGAGCTCAAAGATGGGCTTAGGAATATGGATCACAGAAAAAAATTTGATGTGCAAAAATGAAAAAAAATATGACTTTTATTAAATCATAAAACTGTGATGAAACAGCTGACATCAGTGGAGCAGCCTGCACATTTTCCATCCAGGCATCGTTGAGTCTAGATACGTGTCCCAATTATAGACCATCCAGTCATCCAGGGCTGCCACTTGCAGATGGAAAATTGTACTATTTTCAATCATGCACTGAGGTTTGAATTACTTCACAGACTGAACCAAACAAACATGGGCTCCATTGAAGAGTGTCTGGCATTTGTTTCAACCACAAGAGAACTTTCCCCAGCTCTCCCTCATTCTCGGTTCTCTCCTGCAAGCCAGCAGCCCTGCAGTGTAGCCTGCATCTCCCATGCATCCACCCATCTCCTTCCAAGGGCTTTCCACCACACCATCCACTGTTTTTGAGAGCACTGGCAGGCTTTCAATTTGTCCACATTCTGTTGTTACTGAAGTTAGGATTTTTAGGACTAATTAAGGATCATATTTTATGACTGAATTCCATTGCTCCCTCTCTCCTGGGACAGAGCTCCTAAACAAGGTTCTGCAGGTGTAGACAAAGTTGAGCTGTTTTATTCCTCAGCCTAGGAGCTGAGCTCTCAGTGGAGGGTCGGGCAGGAGCTTCCCACCTTCTCAGCACTTCGGTTATTGTGGGGTGGAACCTCTGCCATAGGACAGAGCTAGAAACCAGAGACCCAGTGTTCCCAGTGGCACTGGACCCGGGGCAGAGCCTCCATCCATGAGTGGGGCTCCATGGAAGAAGTGAGTCTCTGGCTCTCGGTAGCTCTTGTTCAGCACTGAACCTCAGCATCATGTGCTGTGTGCAGGGTCAGAGGGCCAACGTACTGGGCCCTGGGGAAGAGTTTCCTCTGGTGGGAGTTGGTAGAAGGTGTCCTGTCTTCTTGGCTGCATCTGTCGGCAGTGGAGTTTACATCATGCTGAGCTGGGATGTGGAAGGAAGGAAGATCATCTTAGATCAAGCATGATGACTGGCCTTACCGAGTTTTCTAGATTTTCTTGAATAAATATTTCTTCACTTGCTTTATGCTGTTAGAGCCTTTCCAAACCCTGTAATTTTTCAAAATAATTTTCACTGGTCTCATGAGGGCCTGGATTCACTGAAACCCTCATGCTGTCGAAGAGAAATAGAATTTTTTTTCACTTTTTAGAGAACACCCATGCGTTATAAAATAATGGGTTGACTTTTCATCCAACACTTTACAGATACCATCAACTTTCCTCTTGCTTGTAAGGTTTTAACCAGAAGAATGCTGTCATCATCTTTTCTGTTCTTTTGGAAGGAATGCCCCCTCTGCTCACCTCCACTTGCCTGCATATATTTCTATTTGTCTTTCCTTTTCAGCAGTTTTAATAAGATTTACCTAAATGTGTGTGGGGGGATCAGTGGGTGTAATTCTGCTGTTCTGTGTTCTCTGAGATGCATGGATTCACGGTTTACTCTGTCTCCATTTTGGGGAACACAATTAGAAAAAATGTCAGTATGAGCCCAGAAACAAGCCTCCCTGAAGAGGGAACAGGACCACCTGGGGACGCTCAGGACCCACTGAGCACAAGAGCCAGCCTCAGGGCAGGTGCAGAGGGAGGTTAAGGTCTGGTTTCCTGTCAGCCCTGTGGCTTCCTCTCCATGAAACAGTTTCCTCCATGAAACAGTTTCAGAATATGTGCCATGGGGTGATGAGAAGAATGTATATTCTGTTGCTTTTTGGTGGAGAGTTCTGTAAACATCTATCAGGTCCATTTGATCCAGTGCTGAGTTAAGGTCCTGAATATCTTTGCTAATTTTCTGCCTAAGTGATGTGTCTAATACTGTCAGTAGGGTGTTGAAGTCTCTCATTATTATTGTGTGTGAGTCTAAGTCTCTTTGTAGGTTTCTAAGAATTTGTTTGAACAGGGTGCTCCTGTGTTAAGTGCGCGTATATTTAGGATAGTTAGCACTACTTGTTGAATTGAACCCTTTGCCATTATGTCATTACCCTTTTTTGTCTTTTTTTATCTTTGTTGGTTTAAAGTCTGTTTTGTCTGAAATTAGGATTACAATCTCTGTATTTTTTATGTTTTCTATTTACTTAGTAGATTTTCCTCCATCCCTTTATTTTGAGGCTATGGGTGTCATTGCATATGAGCCTATGGGTGTCATTGCATGTGAGCCTATGTGTGTCATTGCATGTGAGCCTATGCGTGTCATTGCATGTGAGCCTATGCGTGTCACTGCATGTCTCTTGAGACAGCATACCATTGGGTCTTGCTTTTTTATCCAGCTTATCACTCTGTGCCTTTTAATTGGGGCATTTACCCCTTTTACATTCAAAGTTAGTATTGATATGTGTAGATTTGATCCTGTCATCATGCTGTTAGTTGGTTACCATACATACTTGTTTGTGTGGCTGCTTTCTAGTGTCATTGGTCTATGTACTTCAGTGTATTTTTGAAGTGGTTGGTAATGATATTTCCTTTTCTTATTTAGTGCTTCCTTCAGGAGCTCTTGTAAGGCAGGTCAGTCTGGTAGTAACAAATTCCCTCAGCATTTGCTTGTCTGAAAAGGATCTTATTTCTCCTTCACTTATGAAGCATAGTTTGGCTAGATGTAAGATTCTAGTTTGGAATTTCTTTTCTTTAAGAATCTTGAATATTGGCCCCCAACCTCTTCTGGTTTGTAGAGTTTTTGTTGAGAGGTCTGCTTAGTCTTATGGGCTTCCCTTTGTAGGTGACCTGACCTTTCTCTCTGGCTGCCTTTTGCATTTTTTTCTTTCATTTCAACCTTGGAAAATCTGATAATTATGTGTCCTGGAGGTGATCTTCCTGTGAAGTACCTTAAATGGGTTTTTGTATTTTCTGAATTTGAATGTTAGCCTCTCTAGCTAGGTTGAGGAAGTTCTCATGAATGATATCCTGGAATATGTTTTCCAAGTTGCTGCCATTCTCCCCATCTCCTTCAGGGACACCAGTGAATCATAGATTTGTTCTCTTTACATAAACATATTTATCAGAGGTTTTGTTTCTTCCTTTTCATTCTTTTTTCTCTATTCTTGTCTGCCTGTCTTGTTTCAGAATGCCAGTCTTAAAGCACTAATATCATTTCTTCTGCTTGGTCTATTCTGCTGTTAATAGTTGTGATTGCATCATGAAATTTTTGCAGTGTGTTTTTCAGTTCTATCAGGTCAGTTATGTTCTTTTCTATACTGTCTATTTTGTCTGTCAGCTCCTGCATTGTTTTATTGTGATTCTTAGCTTCCTTGGATTGGGTTTCAACATACTCCTGTACCTTGTTGCTCTTCATTTCTATCCATACTCCAAATTCTATTTGTGTCACTTCAGCCAACCCAGTTCAGTTAAAAACTTTTGGTGGAGAGCTGGTGGAGGCATTCGGAGGAAAGACAGCATGCTGGCTTTTTGACTTGTCAGAGTTCTTGCACTGTTTTTTTCTCATTTTTGTGGGCTAGTGTTTTTTCAATCTTTGAAGCTCTTGTCCTTTGGATTTTTTTTTATCTTATTAGATGACTTTGAGAGTTTGATTGTGTTATAAAGTGGGTTCAGTCAACTGGCTTTATTTCTGGAAGATTTTGGGGACCAAGGTTCAGCTGTCATCTCCCCAGCTGCATGTTTTAATTCTGGGGGACTTATATCCTACCCTACTTTGTTCTCTGACTTCTCAAGATTATGAACAGACTGTGATGGGGGTGCTAAGGTGCTCCTGGACTGCTGGTCACTACACGTTGATGGAATGGTGCTAGTCAAAGGGTTTTGTAGTGTGGTGGCAGTAGGGGGGGGGGGTCTGTCCTCATTCACAGGTGCCCTCAGCAGCACCAGAACCAGCAGTATTAAATCAGGATGCATGCTTGTCAGCTGCAGCAGACTGCTAGCAGGTGCTGAGATGCCTGCCTCCATGAAGGCATTGACAGCAGGGGTAGAGTCAGCATAACTTGGGGGGTCAGCAGGCCCCCATTGGTGACTGTGTGCATTGGTGCACTGATGGTGGTGTTAGTATGGGGGCAGGACACTGGTGGGTTCAGGTGTGTGTGCACCCTCTGTGGCTACTCAGGGCAGGGGAGGGTTCATTGTTTTCAGTGCCTAGTTTCATTCTGGTGGCAGTGTTGGCACAGGGGCAGGTCACTGACAGAGGCAGGACTGGTGGGCTCTGTGCCCACTACAGCTCTGACTGCAATGGTAGTATGGCCGAGGAAGGGGAGCAGAGTGCACTCCTGCTGGCAGCAGAGGCAGGGCAGCGTACACGTGCTCACACAAGCTGGTGGTGAAGGGAAGGGAAAATCCACCTGCACACATACAAGCCAGCCAAATGATGTCAGGGGGCAGGGGTGGTTGGCCATGGGCTTGGAAGAAGCTGCAGCAGAGGGAGGGAGCAGGCAGGTTGGTGCATGGCCCTAGGGGCCACCCCGCTGGAGCTCTCCACCAATTAGATATGGTCTGCCATTGCAGAAGCTAAGATGCGGGTCCCCAGGGAACCTGAGTCTGTACTGCAAGCAGAAAAAAACCAGGCTGGAGCACTGGGAGAGGTCAGCAGACCAGGGGGTACTAAGGTTGGATCTGCCCCATCTGATGGGAAGACTGCCCTGCAGAATTCATATCTGACAGTTCCCCTAGGGCTAAAGTCTCCTATGGAGGCAAGTCAAGTCTGGAGAGATGGGTATCCCTGGCCGTGCTCTGCTATAGATGTTCCTGCAACAAACCCTCTGGGCTCCATATCGGCTACCATGCTGCTCCTACCACTCCTCTAAGCACTTCCCCTGCCAACTCTGTGTCTGTAGTGGTTGAGGGGTCTCCTCCCGGTGGGATTCCAGAGGCTTGTGGCAAGAGTAGGTTGCTTCTTGCCAGTTCAACTCACCCATTCCCCCAAAGTTCTTGGGGGTGAGGAACGAGTCCCATTGCACGGTAGCCCCACCCAGCTTCTGCCCAGCTTTTGTGTCTTGAGGACCTGTTAGGACTGTGCCAGTCATCCCAGTCCCACAGTGACAGCTGTTCTATCTGTCTGCAACTAGTCAGACATCTTGACCAAATTGGAAGTTTCTTACAAAGCTGAGCATAGCCTTACCATATGATCACACTCCCAGGCACTTACCCAACTGATTTGAAACATGTGTACACAAAAACCCAGTCATGAATGTTTACAGCAACTTCATTCCCTAACAGCCAAAAATTGGAGACAATCACAATGTTCTTCAACGAGTGTATGAATAAACAAACTGTGCTATATTTACAATAGAATGTTATTCAGCAATAAAAAGGTCATTAACTACCAAGCCATAAAAAAGCATGAATGAATCTTAAATGCATAATGCTAGCTGAAAGAAGCCAGTTTTGAAAGGTTATATACTGTATGACTCCAATTGTATGACATTCTAGAAAAATTAAAACTATAGAGACAGTAAAAGACTGGTGGTTACCAAGAGTACAAGGAGAAGAAAGAAGAGTGGAATAATTTAAGTTGAAGAACAATTTAGGGTGAAGAAATTATTCTTTCTAATGCTGTAGAAATGAATACATGATATTATAAATATGTCAAAAATTATAGAAAAAACTTAATTTGTGTAAGTTTTAACAACTATACTACAACAAATTGAATAACCTTGAAGAAATAGATAAATTTCTGGACACAATTTGTCAAAATTAAATTAAGAGGAAATAAAAAATCTTAACCGATCAATAAGGAATAAAATTGAATCAATAGTTTCAAAAATCTCACAGCAAAGAAAAGCCCAGGACCTAATGGATTCTGTTTTAAATTTTACCAAACATTTGAAAAAGAACTAATACCAATTTATTGAAATTGAATAGGCATACTCATTTTAGAAGGCCTGCATTACTCTGATACCTAAGCCACAGGTGGATACTAAAAGAAAAGTTCAATCCAGTGTCTCTGATGAACATAAATGCCAGAATACTAACACATTAAATCTGGCAGCACATTAAAAGGATAATTCATGGTTAGCAAGCACAGTGATATTTGAACATATGCAAATCAATAAATGTGATATACCACATTGGCAGAATGAAAGGCAAAAACCATATGGTTACCTCAATAGATGCAGAAAAGGCATTGACAAAATTCAACATCCTTCATCATAAAAACTATGCTTAGAAGGAACCTACCACAGTGATAAATGCCACATATTACAATCGCACAGCTAACATCATATTCAATGGTGAAAAATTGAAAGCTTTCCTTCTAAGATCAGAAAGAAAATAAGGATGCCCACTCTCACCGAGTCTACTCAATATATTACTGAAAGTACTAGCTAGAGTAAGTAGGTAAGAAATAAAAGGCAACCAAATTGCAAAAGAAGAAGTAAAATTGTCTGTTTGCAGATGACGTGATCTTATATCGAGAAAATCCTAAAGATGTCCTCAAAAAAACCTTCTAGAATAAGTGAGTTCATAAAGCTGCAGATTAAAAAATGAACATACAAAAACTAGTGGTATCTCTGAACAGTAACAATGAATTATCTGAAAAGGAAGTCAAGAAAACAATCCCATTTATAACTATAAAAAATTAAAACAAAATACTTAGGAATAAATTCAACCAGGAGGTTTAATCTCTGTACACTGAAAACTATAATACATTGATGAAATAAATGGAAAAAGAGAATTAAAAGTAAATATACCTATGTACATTAATTTTAAAAAATTAATATTGTTAAAATATCTAAAATAATTAAATTACCTACAGATTCTATCAAGTCCCTATTAAAATTCCGATGGCATTCATCATAGAAATGGAAAAAACAAAACCAAATTTGTATGTACTTGTACAAGACTCTAAATAGCCAAAGTAATTTTGAGAAAAAGGAACAAAGCTGGAAGCATCACACTCACTGCTTCAAACTCTACTACAAAGCCATATTAATTAAAACAGTATGGTACTATAAAAACATGACACATAACAATGGAACACAGTAGGGAGCCCAAAAATAAATTCACACATATATGGCCAACTAAGATTTGACAAGGGTGCCAATAATACACAATGGGAAAAGAAAAGTCTATTTAATAAATGCTGTTGTAAAAGCTAAATATCCACATGCAAAAGAAAGAAACTGAAGTCTTGTCTTATGACATATACTAAAACTAACTGGAAATGAATTAAAGATTTAAATGTAAAACCTGAAACTGTAAAACTACCAGAAGAAAACATAAGGAAAAAACACCTTGACAACAGTCTTGGCAATCATTTTTTGGATATGACCACAAAAGCACAGGCAACAAAAAATAAACAAGTGGGACTATATCAACTAAAAATTCCACTGCGCCACAAAAGAAACAATTGACCAAATTAAAAGGTAACCTATCGAATGGGAGAAAATATTAGTAAACCATATGTATGATAAGGGGTTAATACTCATAATATATTAGGAAGTACGCAAGTCAACAGTAAAACAACAAACAACCTGATTTTTACAATTGGCAAAGATTTTAACAGACATATTCCCAAAACAGACATAGAAATAGCCAACATGTATATGAAAAGGTGCTCAACATCATCAACCATTGGGAAAATGAAATTAAAACCGCAATGAAACATCACCTCATACCTACTGTAATGGCCATTATGAGAAGACACATGATAACAAGTGTTGGTAAGGATGTGGAGAAAAGGGAACCCTTTCACAGTATTGATGGGAATGTAAATTGGCACAGGCATTATGGAAAACAATATAGATGTTCTTCAAAAAATAAAAAATAAAACTTCCATATGTTCCAGCAATCTCACTTCTAGATATATACCCAAAGGAAATGAAATAAGTATCTCTAAAAGATAACTATACTGCTATGTTCACTGCAGCATCATTCACTATAGCCAAAATATGGAAACAACCCAAGTGTACATCAATTGATGAATGAGTATAAAAATTGTGGTACATATATGTGATAGATTATCATCCAGCCAAAGAAAGAAGGAAGTTTTGCCCTTTGCAGCAACATAGATAAACCTAATAGACATTACGGTAGGTGAAATAAGCCAGACACAGAAAGACAGACACTATATGATCTCACTTACATGTAGAATCTGAAAAAAAAAAAAAAAAGCTCATTGAAGGAGAGAGTAGAACAGTGGTTGTCAGAGGGTTTTGAAGTCAGAGAAAAGGGGAATATGTTGGTCAAATGGTACAAACTTTCAGCCCTAAGATAAACACATTCTTGGTAACTAATGTACAACATGGATGGTGATTAATGTGTTAATTTGATTGTGGTAATCATTATACAATGTATATGTATATCAAATTATCATTTCATATACCTTGAATATATTTGATCTTTATGTGTCAATTAAATATTTATAAATTTAAAAATCTACAAAAGAAACAAATCATTTCAATTCTATACAATAAAAAAGAACTATCTAAAAGGGAAATTAAGAAATTAATCTCATTTCCATTAGAACCAAAAAATAAAATATTTAGGAGTAAACTTAAACAAAGAGGTGAAAGACTTGTACACTTAAACTGTAAAACATTGATGAAAGAAATTAAAGCAGATGGAAATAAACGGAAAGACTTTCTGTGTTAATGGAATAGAACAATTAATATTGTTAAAATATCCACACTACCTGAAGCAATCTATAGATTCAATACAATCTCTGTGAAAATCCCAACATCATTTTTTAAAGAAATTTTTAAAAATCCTAAAATTCATGTGGAGACACAAAGACTCATGAAGTGACATGGACAGGGGAAAAGGTGGCAAGAAGGTTTTATTTAGGAGGGAATAAATGCGGTTACACGCTAAAGGTTACACCCAATAGGGAGGACAAAGTTCATGTTATAGGTGAGAGAAAGGAGAGTTACCAGAGTAATTGCCTTTAGTAGAGAGGACGGGATGGAATCTGGTGCACAGGTGGAAGGGTTTACTTCTGTAGGAGCAGGATCAGGTCACCCAGTTTCAGGAGAAGTTAAAGGAAACTTAATCACAGATGCAGGTTGTATAGTGGTAGTGATGGGAGATTAAGGAATTCTCACCTGTTACCTTTCTCAGTAAAACAGGAAGCAACACAATAAACAGAGTGATAATAGAGAAGGATTATTTGAAGATTCAGACCACTTTTTCTATAGTCTGAATATTTTTACCATGTACAAAATTTATATTCCTAAGTATAAACTTTGGTTTTTATCAAAAATAAAATATTTTAAAACTCAATTTTTGACCCCCTTGCATTTGGGGTTCCAGATGTTTTGGATGCTGCCCATTTAATGCACTCATTTGAGATTTGAATATGTAGTAAGCTAGTTAAAGGGAGGCAGTAGGATAGGCTTCTGTTATACTAGGGGCGATTTGTTAGGTCCAAAGTGATTCCGGATCATCAACTTGATCCCAGGCACATGGCTAAAATTGTAGTGTTTTTCAGACAACAGATGGCTAAGATTGTAGCAAGAACAACTTCCCTGACAACATAGGTCACCTGTGTTAGTCTGTAAGTCATCTCTGGGTGTCCAGCCTATAGTCTGCTCTTCTAGACTTGGCAGTGATTTTGTGAACACCTCTCTTGATATTAAATGATGTTTTGTTTAAAATAGCTGGAATGGTTTCTTCTCTCTGACACAAAATCCTGATTGGTCTATGAAAAGACTGTCATTATTAAACTTACAGTGAAATCAATTGGCAATAAGGTCAAACATACAGCTAAAAGTCATAAAAATTTGCTAGGATTAATAATGAAGCTCCAGAAAAAAAAAGTAAAATTTTTTTTGATCTTTTTCAGTAAAAGTAACCAGCTTTCTTTTGCCACTCTCTGCTTATGTATGTAAGAAAAATTGGTAGTTTAATATCTTTCAAAGTGCACTTACAAATATAATATTTTCCTCTTAATGATATTTTTCAACTCTTTGATATCTGCATAGAATCTTGAGTTTACAGCCCTAAGTCATTTATGACCCTTCAGTAGAGGAATCACTCTTTTGCTTAAAGCCACAGAATGGCTTCTTATTGTAATTGTAATAAAATGAAAACTCACATTTACTATGTAGACCATATGTTTTTGACACTACCAGTATCTCTAACTTTAAGTTTAATCATTTTCACATTAAATTACTATATTCTTGGTAACATGGACTTTATTGTATTCTTCAAATATACCAAGTTCATCATCATCTTTGAGTTTTTGCACTGCCTGTGCCCTCTGTCTACCATACTATAGCCACAAATGTTTGCATGTTTGGCTTCTTCAGTTTATCCAGATATGATCCAAAATGTCAGCTCTTCAAGGCCTTTTTTTATTATTAAACACAAATTGGTTACTCCCAATCCAGAGTCACAGTTTATCATTTCACTTTTCGTTTTAGTTTTTACAGAGCAGTATCTCTTCCTGAAACTATGCTGTTTATTTTCTACCTTAACGGCGGTCTATTTTTACTAGGTTGTATCTCTTGGAGAGCAGATAGACCTTATCTGCCTCAATACTTTCTTTCTTCAGTTCCTAGAATAGTCCTGACAAATGGGAGGTATTCAATGATTGCAGTACTTGGAAATAAACAAATCAATTTCAGATAAAATTCTACAGTCTATTTTTATTCTTTTTTTTTTTTTTGCCCTTTTTCAGGCTATGTGTTTATTAAACACCTTTTTCATGGAAGCTTTCACTTCCTGGTTATGAAGGGTATAAATGACAGGATTCAACAAAGGAAGAATCACTGTGTGGAAGAGAGAAACCACCTTGTCGGCTGGGAAAGCCCTGAAGGGGCACGTGTAGATGAAGATGCCAGGTCCAAACATGAAGAATATAACAATGATATGGGTGGTGCATGTGGACATGGCCTTGTTTTTTGCCTCAGAAGAAGACGCTCGTATGCGACAAAGAATGACTGCATAGGAGGCCAGAAGTCCCAGAAAGCACATGAGTGTCATCAGGCCACTATTGAAGACCATCAGAAGCTCCACCACAAACATGTCGGTGCAAGCCAGCTTGATGACCTGTCGGACATCACAGAAGAAGTTGTCCAGCTGGTTTGGGCCACAAAAAGGCAAGCGGATGATGAGGACCACCTGGATAATGGAGTGGACAAAACCCCCAAGCCACAGAGCCAACATCATTGCATAGCAGGCTCTAGAGTTCATGACAGTTGAATACTGCAGAGGCAGGCAGATGGTGATGTAGCAGTCAAAGGCCATCACAACAAGGAGTAATCCCTCCCCTCCTCCAAGGAAGTGCAAGAAAAAGAGCTGAGTGATGCAGCCTCTGTAGGAGATTACCTTCTTCTCAGAGAGGAAGTCCACCAACATCCTGGGAGCCACAATGAAGGAGTAGGATGCATCCAGGAAGGCCAAGTTGCCCAGAAATAAATAGAGGGGGGCTGTGAGCCCAGGGTCTGACCTTATGGTGAAAATAATGAGAAAATTTCCAGGGAGGATGAAGAAGTAGAATATTAAAACTAGCACAAAGACCAGGAGCTAAATATCTCGAAACTGGGTCAAACGAAGGAGGATGAATTCTCTTATCACTGTTCTGTTCTCGCTTTCCATTTCCCTGGCCTGCAGTACATTAAGAAGCAGAATTAATTGTTATTGCTATGTCTTCCAACTAGATACTAGTTCTACAGCTAAAAAATATTTGGCACATATAGTACTTCAGCTAAAAACAACACTTCCCATCCCTCTCCTATTCTGGGGAAACTCTGTTACCTTAATTTCTCCAAATTTAAAATGAAAAATGAAAACAAAATATGGTTCTCAAAGCTACAGTTTTATTCCCATTCAACCATGTGCTTCTACAGAATCATTTTCCATGTTAGGAGTCTGGTATCCTCCACGTTGGGATTCCTACATTCCTAAATCATGTAAGTTTCCTAATGGAGACACAACCTAACTTCAAATCTGAAGGTCTTTGAGTTTTTTGGATATACTATGCTTGAGGGTTAGTTCTTTTCTTGGGATTAGACCCTTTTTCTCCTTGTCCACACCACCCCCAAATTTTCCTAGACAGTTTCTTCCCTCAATTCCTGTGTAATTCCCAGTTCCTAGCTGGTAACTCTCTTCCTTGCCCTCTGTCTTATCATCTAATTTACTTCTTACTATACTCCTTTTGGTCTGATATCCTTGAATACTCTTTTCCCAGACTGTTCACGAGAATCCCAAGCTATAGCTCCACTTTTGACCTAACACAGGCACAGTGCTCCAGCTGTAACTCTGTTTGAACACCACTCCTGTGGCCACTCCACACCTGCATGCAGCTTATTTAGCACTTTTTGAGTTTCAAATACTAATAAACTCACAACACATTTCTTTCTCTGTTCCAAGTATGACACCCAAGATACAGCCCTTTAACAAAAAATATGCTACAATATAAAATTTGCAAGTATAAAACTTTAAAATATCATTATCTCAACTCATAAGATCATAGCATAGATACACTGTAAGTAGCCATAAAGATACTGTAGTGTTATTCTTCCATTTCAAAGATGAGAAATAACCTGTAGTTATATTACTTAAGTTTAGAGTGAGTTTTATTTTTTGCTCTGCTTGATAAGTAGTAGGATAATGCAAGTGTATACTATTCAGTTTAAATAGATAAAGAATTTTTTAATCACAGCTTCAATGAATGAATGTTCTTTTTGTGCATCTGAATAACTAAAGATAATATTGCTAGTCTAAAATCACTCCCGTATTGCTTTGATTTGTAAGTTCAACCTTGTTTAAATAAAAAGAAAAACAATGTCCATTGTGAAGAAAATTCATATTTAAAATTCAGATTGTTTTCATGGGGTATACTCATTCCAGAAGGTGCACATGATAATCCACTGAAGTATAGAAAGAACATAGTAATTTATCTATATTTAGTCAGTGTATAACATTTTATATGTATCACTACATTTCATTCTTTTCTAAATTCACTTTTTAATATTTATAATGGATAACATAGTACAATGGTTTATATATACTTTATAAATAAATATGCATACATTTAAGGTTATATATTCAAAAAATGTCTTAGGGGAGTAAATTTTTTAAGTTTGAAAATTGTTGGCCTACAACAAAATACAAACTGTAATATAAAAGGATATTCTTAATATGATTTAACTAAACAGTGTATTTGTTTTAAATAAGTGCTCTAGCGGCCGGGCGTGGTGGCTTATGCCTGTAATCCCAGCACTTTGGGAGGCCAAGGCGGGTGGATCACGAGGTCAGGAGATCGAGACCATCTTGGCTAACATGGTGAAACCCCGTCTCTACTAAAAAAATACAAACAAATTAGCCGTAGTGGTGGTGGTTGCCTGTAGTCCCAGCTACTCAGGAGGCTGAGGCAGGAGAATGGTGTGAACCCGGGAGGCAGAGCTTTCAGTGAGCCGAGATCATGCCACTGCACTCCAGCCTGGGTGACAGAGCGAGACTCTGTCTCAAAATAAATAAATAAATAAATAAATAAATAAATAAATAAGTGCTCTAGCACATGGGGTACGGAAGGAAGGGAAAATCTTTGACAGAAAATGCTACTGCAACAGTACCTAGAAAAGAAAGACAAGAAGATAGAGGATGAGGGAAGAAAGAAGAGAGAAATAGAAAATCAGGCAAACAAACACCAAACAAGCAAACAAACAAGCAAACAAACACCAAAAGACAGACAGCACATCTATATAGTGTCATCTTAGGGTACATATTTTAAGAAGCATTAAAACTATCTGCTTTATGTATCCCTAGAGTGGAATAGAGTGGTTAATACAGAAATTTCTGGGTGTTACTGGCAGCCACATGTGGAATTTATGAAAGTCATATTTTAACACATCATCATATATACATATGCAAATACCACATGAACACACACGTATGCACACACATACAAACACATGCAAAATTGTAATAGGAAAAAATATTTTGTAGATCCTTCAAATGAGCTTTTCTGCTCATGTCTTAACCTTTTCCCCCTTTGCCAGCCATTTGTCTCAACATTTATTCTACTATCTGCCTATATAAATATTTCCTTAAATCAAGAGCCCCTTCTACAGTTGACAATTGAACAATGCAGGAGTTAAGGGGGCAGATCCCCTGTGCAATAAAAAATTAGCACATACCCTGACTCCCTAAAAACTTAGCTTCTAACGATTACTGTTGATCAGAAGCTTTGCTGGTAACATAAACAGTTGAATAACAAATATTTTTGTTTTATGTATTATATACTATATTCCTACAATAAATTAAGCTACAGAAAATAAAATATAACAAAATCATAAGGAAAGGAAGATATAAATACTGTTCATTAAGTGGAAGCAAATCATCATAAAGTTCTTATCGTTGTCGTCTTCCCACTGAGTAGGCTGAGGAGAAGGAAAAGGAAGGGTTCGTTTTGCTGTCTCAGGGGTGGCAGAGGTGGAAGAAAATCCACATATAAGTGGACACGTGTGGTTCAAACCCATGTTTTTCTGGAGTCAACTGTACTTACTTATATGTTTTATGCATCCCACATGCTAACATAGAGTGAGGTATTTCTTGATGTGTTAGCATTTAACAATATCCCTGAGACATTTGAGGATTTCTGAAGGACTTTGAAATTGAAGGTTATAAGCTCTTCCATTCTGCCTGTGTCCCAGCCTCACTGTTATTTTTCCACTGTTTCTTAACAGATGGGATTCTGTACTACTTGACATCTTGATCAACTTTCTTCCCTGTCCCACTTCCATCTTTGAATTATCTCTACCTTCTCTAAATTGTGGTTGGAATAGACGCGGAGACTAATCAGATGAGCATTCCTCTAAGCAAAATAAAATAAGTTTCTACCAAAAAAAAAAAATCCATAAATGATGACGTCATCAGAGTAAAGTGTTCTATTTTAGCCAAATTAGTAGAGAAAGTTCTGTCAAAACTCTGTACCATACCTTCCTCACTGTATCTCTAATCGTTCTTGCCACTTCAGCTAATTCGTGGATTGATCAGTTTCTGGCCATGATGACACACTGCAGAAATAGGGAAGATGAAGGAGAAGGGTTCACCACATTTGCAAGGTGGAGACACAGAAACATCTCCAGGCAACTCTGTGTGTGCATGCCTGGAGTCTGAGTGTGGTCAGATGGGCTGCTGGAGCCAAGTGTTTAGAGATCTTATGTGCTTACTCCGCCTCCTTCCTTATTTTTCTTTTTCTCTCTTTCTTTATTCATCAATAAGCAGTTCATTTTCTTTTTTTTTCTGGTTGTGATTTCTTTTCCCTGTTAATTTGTTGCCTGTTCTTTTCCCCTTCTCTGTTTCTTTCTGGCTCTATTTATTTTGTTCTCTTTAAATATTGTTCTTTATTTTTTTTTCTTTCTTCTCCCTTACATTTATCTATGTTTTTTCACTCTGATATGTTTTCACTCTCTCCACTTTTTGTCTATGTTCATGGCTACTCCATTCTACCCACACCTGTCTTGCTAATGCATCTAAAAACAAAACGAAACAAGAAACAGAAAATCTCGTTGTCATTTGCTTTTCCAACAAGACTGAGAAATGTGTGTGCTTCCCACCATCTTCCATTTTAAATGTTAAGTCTACAAAATGAAAATATATAATTCACTCTTCAGTAATAACCATTTACTTTTAAGTGGTATTCTTGCAATTGGCCAACGCTGAGTCATTTATCAACTACTTCATATATATGTAGTGAACCTGATAAAAATGAGATGATTCACCTTTTTTTTAAAAAAAAGTTAATTTCATTAGTAGCATCCTAATGAAATAAATATATTGAATGTAAATTTCAAAAATAGAGATGTAATATTAGTAGTAATAATTTACTAACTACACAAGGTTAGTAAATTATTTGAGTATGAAATAAGTTTTATATTTTCTAAAAAGTGTGAATCAGGCTGAGAACATAATAGAAAATTTAATTTATACTGATGCTGATGCTGAGTATATAAAGCACTAAACAAATGTGTAGATTCTTAGCCAGAAAATTTATTCATCAATCAAATGAGATGGCCAGATTAAATGCCCTCTAAATTCCATTTGAATGCCAGTTTTTTAGGCAATGTAATAACATAAAAGGATCCCTGGTTTGGGAATCATTTATCTGACTCTCATGCCTTGACTGAGCAATTAACTTACTGTGTGATTCTGGCAAAGTCACTTAGCTTTCAGAAGCCTGAGTTTTCATCTACCAAATAGTTTAATGTATTGACTCTTTGGGTCTGATGGGGGTAACATGAGGATCAAATGAGGTGATGATGGTATTAATATGTAATTCATTCAAGTATGCTTCAACCAAAGTTAATCCTGAAAATATTTAGATGTTAAAAGTAGTTATATTGAATGGACAGAATGCTGCTAGATCTTTTGTCAATGTCTTTGAGTAACCCCTGGGATAATGGTAGTTGCATAAATCTGAATGGTTAATAGAAAGAAGCTGTGGAGGGTCAGTAATGCCTTCATGTAAAATTGCCAATACAGCTAGTAGTTTGTATATCAAGCTTTTTTTCAGTTCTACAGCTTTCTGTCAAAATTCTATGAATGAATGATAGAACCATATGTAACAGAAGAAACTTTCATACCTGCTGAATGTGAAAATGAAGAGGTCAAGGACTTACCTTCCGCAAAATCATAAAATCTGTTAAGTTTTTCTCTGGAGCTTTTAGCCAACCATTTCTGCATCCTCCTCCCCTTTCTTCCATATTTAATAAGGAAAATGATACATATCAGTCATTTGTATGATTTTTTGTTTTTTAACACCAGATGTCAATTCTCTTGAGTCTATGGAAAATTATAATAGAATTAAAGGTTTAGTTCACCAGTAAAGTAATCCCAAGCATTAAATGCAGATGGAGATCTATTAGGAGAGAGAATACACAGTGCCCCACTGCTGAATTTAGACCTTAGCCTGTGGCTATTCCTGCTAATACTCTGACCTGTCTATTCAACTGCAATCTAAGATATCAGGTGAACAAGTAAAATAGTTGCAATATTTTTTCTATTGTCTCTTTCTTCTTGTTTCTTGTATATATATGAAGAGCTCCAGAAATTTAAGCCTTCAGGGATCTTATGTTACTCTCACAAAGTAGCCATCCTCCCTCTCCTAGTAAGACTAACCAATTTTGCCATTGTTCATAAATGTTCATTGCCACATGAGGAACCTTAGATTTTAAAATCTCTCTATTGTAATGGAGAAAGTGCTTTTGAGATTTGAGACTACCGTGACCCACTGAATGCTTCCAAAGGGAGTTATTAGGCAAACTATATTAGTTATCAACTAAATAAGGCAAAGAAAAATACCAGAGCTTTGCAAGAACTAATTTTTTTTAAATGTGCTACATAATGCCAAGCTGACTTCCTTTCTAGTTCTAAAACAAAAATTCTACTGTGAAAAAGACAGAACCCTATTCAGAAGCATACTTTTTAGTCCAGAAGTAAATAGAAGTTTGAGAGAAGTAAATTTACATGTTATAATAAAATTCAAAAGGAGAAAAATATTAAATAAATGATGAGAGATTATTGCTTTGTACCACAAAAGCAAGCAGGGGTAGGATGAGGCAAAAATTACATATATACATATATATATATATATATATATATATATATATATATATATATATATGACTAGACTCAAATTTTTCAATTAAAGGCTTCACCAAACTTTAGAGGGTGGCTGGCAAGATGGCCAGATAAGAGCAACTCCAGTCTGCAGCTCCCAGCAAGACCAACGCAGAAGGTGGGTGATTTCTGCATTTCCAACTGAGGTACCCGGCTCATCTCATTGGGACTGGTTAGACAGTGGGTTCAGCCTACGGAGGATGAGCCAAAGCAGGGTGGGGCATCACCTCACCCGGGAAGTGGAAGGGTTCAGGGAACTCCCTCCCCGGCCAAGGGAAGCCATGAGAGACTGTGCCAAGAGGAATGGTGGATTCTGATCCACATACTAGGCTTTTCCCATGGTTTTTGCAACCTGCAGACCAGGAGATTCCCTTGGGTGCCTACACCACCAGGGCCCTGGGTTTCAAGCACAAAACTAGGCAGCCATTTGGGCAGACACTGAGGTAGAAGCAGGAGTTTTTTTCATACCCCAGTGGCACCCGGAATGCCAGCAAGATAGAACGATTCACTCCCCTGGAAATGGGGCTGAAGCCAGGGAGTCAAGTGGTCTATCTCAGTGGATCCCACCCCCATGGAGCCCAGCAAGCTAAGATCCACTGGCTTGAAATTCTTGCTGCCAGCACAGCACTCTGAAGTTGACCTGGGACACTCGAGCTTGGTTGGGGTAGGGGCATCCGCCATTACTGAGGCTTGAGTAGGCACTTTTCTCTTCACAGTGTAAATAAAACCACCAGGAAGTTTGAACTGGGCAGAGCCCACTGCAACCCAGCAAAGCAGCTATAGCCAGACTGCTTCTCTAGATTTCTCCTCTCTGGGCAGGGTATCTCTGAAAGAAAGGCAGCGTCCCCAGTCAGGGGCTTATAGATAAAAATCCCATCTCCCTGGGACAGAGCACCTGGGGGGAAGGGCGGCTGTGGGCACAGCTTCAGCAGACTTAAATGTTCCTGCCTGCCATCTCTGAAGGGAGCAGCAGATCTCCCAGCAAAGCGCTTGAACTCTGCTAAGGGACAGACTGCCTCCTCAAGTGGCTCCCTGATGCCTGTGCCTCCTGACTGGGAGACACCTCCTAGCAGGGGTTGACAGACACCTCATACGGGAGATCTCCAGCTGGCATCTGGCTGGTGCCCCTCTGGGACAAAGCTTCCAGAAGAAGGAACAGGCAGTAGTCTTTGCTGTTCTGCAGCATCTGCGATGACACCCAGGTAAACAGGGTCTGGAGTGGACCCGCAGCAAACTCCAGCAGACCTGCAGCAGAAGGGCCTGACTGTTAGAAGGAAAACTAACAAACAGAAAGAAATAGCATCAACATCAACAAAAAGGATGTCCACCCAAAAACACCAACTGAAGGTCACCAACATCAAAGAACAAAGTTAGATAGGTCCAAGAAGATGAGGAAAAACCAGAGCAAAAAGGCTGAAAATTCCAAAAACCAGAACACCTCTTCTCCTCCAAAGTATCACAACTCCTTGCCAGCAAGGGAGCAAAACTGGATGGAGAATGAGTTTGACAAGTTGACAGAAGTAGGCTTCCAAAGATGGGTAGTAACAAACTCCTCTGAGCTAAAGGAGCATGTTCTAACCCAAAACAAGGAAGCTAAGAACCTTGAAAAAGGTTAGAGGAATTGATAACTAAAATAACCACCTTAGAAAAGAACATAAATAACCTGATGGAGCTGAGAAACACAGCACGAGAACTTCATGAAGCATACACAAGTATCAATAGCCAAATCAATTGAGTGGATGAAAGGATACCAGGGATTGAAGATCAACTTAATGAAATAAAGCGTGAAGACAAGATTGGAGAAAAAAGATTGAAAAGGAATGAACAAATCCTCCAAGAAATATGGGACTATGTGAAAAGACCAAACCTACGTTTGATTGGTGTACCTGAAAGTGACGGGGAGAATGGAACCAAGTTGGAAAACACTCTTCAGGATATTATCCAGGAGAACTTTCCCAACCTAGCAAGACAGGCCAGCATTCAAATTCAGGAAATACAGAGAACACCACAAAGATACTCCTCGAGAAGAGCAACCCCAAGAAACATAATTGTCAGATTCACCAAGGTTGAAATGAAGGAAAAAATGTTAAGGTCAGCCAGGAAGAAAGGTCAAGTAGTTACCCACAAAGGGAAGTCCATCAGACTAACAGTGGATCTCTCTGCAGAAACCCTACAAGCCAGAAAGAAGTGGGGGCCAATATTCAACGTTCTTAAAGAAAAGAATTTTCAAACCAGAATTTAATATCCAGCCAAACAAAGTTTCATAGATGAAGGAGAAATAAAATCCTTTACAGATAAGAAAATACTAACAGATTTTTGTCACCACCAGGCCTGCCTTACAAGACCTCCAGAAGGAAGCACCAAATATGGAAAGAAAAACTGGTACCAGCCACTGCAAAAACATACCAAATTGTAAAGACTATTGAAGCTATGAAAAAACTGCATCAACTAACAGGCAAAATAACCAGATAACATCATAATGACAGGATCAAATTCACACATAACAATGTTAACCTTAAATGTAAATGGGTTAAGTCCCCAGTTAGAATACACAGACTGGTAAATTGGATAGAGACTCAAGACCCATTGGTGTGCTGTATTCAGGAGACCCATCTCACGTGCAAAGACACACATAGGCTCAAAATGAAGGGATGGAGGAAGATTTACCAAGCATATTGAAAGCCAAAAAAAAGCAGGGGTTGCAATCCTAGTCTCTGATAAAACAGACTTTAAACCAACAAAGATCAAAAAAGACAAAAAAGGGCATTACATAATGGTAAACGGATCAATGCAACAAGAAAAGCTAACTATCCCAAATATGTATGCACCTAATACAGGAGCACCCATATTCATAAAGCAAGTCCTTAGAGATATACAAAGAGACTTACATTCCCACACAATAATAGTGGGAGACTTTAACACCCCACTGTCAATATTAGACAGATCAAGAGACAGAAAATTAACAAGGACATTCAGGACTTGAACTCAGCTCTGGACCAAGCAGAACTAATAGACATCTACAAAACTCTCCACCCCAAATCAACAGAATATACATTCTTTTCAGCACCACATCACACTTATTATAAAATTGACCACATAATTGGAAGTAAAACACTCCTCAGCAAATGCAAAAGAACAGAAATCATAACAAATAGTCTCTCAGATCACAGTGCAATCAAATTAGAACTCAGGATTAAGAAACTCACTCAAAACTGCACAACTGCATGGAAACTGAACAACCTGCTCCTGAATGACTACTGGGTAAATAACGAAATTTAGGCAGAAATAAATAAGTTCTTTGAAACCAATGAGAACAAAGACACAATGTACGAGAATCTCTGGGACACAGCTAATGCAGTGTTTACAGGAAAATTTATAGCACTAAATGCCAACAGCTTAAAGCAGCAAAGATCTAAAATCAACACCCTAACATTACAATTAAAAGAACTAGAGAAGTAAGAGCAGACAAATTCAAAAGCTAGCAGAAGACAAGAAATAACTAAGATCAGAGCAGAACTGAAGGAGATAGAGACACAAAAAACCCTTCAAAAAATCAATGCATCCAGGAGCTGGTTTTTTGAAAACATTAACAAAATAAATAGACCACTAACCAGACTAATGAAGAAAAGAAAGAAGAATCAAATAGACACAATAGAAAATGATAAAGGGGTATCACCACTGATCCCATAGAAATACAAACTACCATCAGAGAATACTACAAACACCTCTACACAAATAAACTAGAAAATCTACAAGAAATGGATAAATTCCTGGGCACATACACCCTCCCAAGACTGAACCAGGAAGAAGTCAAATCCCTGAATAGACAAATAACAAGTTCTGAAATCGAGGCAGTAATTAATAGCCTACCAACCAAAAAAAAGTCCAGGACCAGACAGATTCACAGCCAAATTCTACCAGAGGTACAAAGAGGAGCTGGTACCATTCCTTCAGAAACTATTACAAACAATAGAAAAAGAGGGACTCCTCCCTAACTCATTTTATGAGGCCAGCATCATCCTGATACCAAAACCTGGCAGAGACACACATAAAAAAGAAAATTTCAGGCCAATATCCCTGATGAACATCAATGCAAAAATCCTCAATAAAATACTGGCAAACCGAATCCAGCAGCACATCAAAAAGCTTATCCACCATGATCAAGTTGGCTTCATCCCTGGAATGCAAGGCTGGTTCAACATACCCAATCAGTAAACATAATCCATCACATAAACAGAACCAATGACAAACATCACATGATTATCTCAATAGATGCAGAAAAGGCCTTCAGTAAAATTCACCCCTTCATGCTAAAAACTCTAAATAAACTAGGTATTGATGGAACGTATCTGAAAATAATAAGAGCTATTTATGACACACCCACAGCCAATATCATACCGAATGGGCAAAAGCTGGAAGCATTCTCTTTGAAAACCAGCACAAGACAAGGATGCCTTTTCTCACCATTCTTATTCAACACAGCATTGGAAGTTCTGGCCAGGGCAATCAGGGAAGAGAAAGAAATAAAGCGTATTCAAATAGGAAGAGAGGGAGGTAAATTGTCAAAGTTTGCAGATGACATGATTGTATATTTAGAAAACCCCATCATCTTAGCCCAAAATCTCCTTAAGCTCATAAGCAACTTCAGCAAAGTCTCAGGATACAAAATCAATGTGCAAAAATTACAAACATTCCTATATACCATTAATAGATAAACAGCCAAATCATGAGTGAACTCCCATTCACAACTGCTACAAAGAGAATGAAATACCTACGAATACAACTAACAAGGGATATGAAGGACCTCTTCAAGGAGAATTACAAACCACTGCTCAAGGAAAAAGAGAGGACACAAATGGAAAAACGTTCTGTGCTCATGGATAGGAAGAATCAATATCATGAAAATGGCCATACTGCCCAAAGTAATTTACAGATTCAATGCTATCCCCATCAAGCTACCATTGATTTTCTTCACAGAATTAGAAAAAACAACTTTAAATTTCATACAGAACCAAAAAAGAGCCTGTATAGCCAAGACAATCCTAAGCAAAAAGAAAGAGGCATCACACTACCTGACTTCGAACTATACTACAAGGCCGCAGTAACCAAAACAGCATGGTACTGGTACCAAAACAGATATATAGACCAATGGAACAGAAAAGAGGCCTTAGAAATAATGCCACACATCTACAACCATCTGGTCTTTAACAAGCCTGACAAAAGCAAGCAATGGGAAAAGGATTCCCTATTTAATAAATGGTGTTGTGAAAACTGGCTAGACATATGCAGAAAACTGAAACTGAACCCCTTCCTTACACCTTATACAAAATTAACTCAAGATGGATTAAAGGAGTAAATGGAAAACCTAAAACCATAAAAACCCTAGAAGAAAACCTAGGCAATACCATTCAGGACATAGGCATGGGCAAAGACTTCATGACTAAAACACCAAAACCAATGGCAACAAAAGCCAAAATTGACAAATGAGATCTAATTAAACTAAAGAGCTTCTGCACAGCAAAAAAACAAACAAACAAACAAACAAACAAAAAAAAACCTCTCATCAGAGTGGACAGTCAACCTACAGAATGAGAGGAAATTTTTGCAATCTATCCAGCTGACAAAGGGCTAATATCTAGCATCTACAGGGAACTTAAACAAATTTACAAGAAAAAAAACAACCCTATCAAAAAGTGAACAAAGGATATGAACAGACACTTCTCAAAAGAAGACATTTATGCAGCCAACAAACATATGAAAAAAAAGCTCATCATCACTGGTCATTAGAGAAATGCAAATCAAAACCACAATGAGATACCATCTCATGCCAGTTAGAATGGTGATCATTAAAAGGTCAGGAAACAGCAGATGCTGGAGAGGATGTGGAGAAATAGGAACCCTTTTACACTGTTGGTGGGAGGGTAAATTAGTTCAACCATTGTAGAAGACAGTGTAGCGATTCCTCAAGGATGTAGAACCAGAAATACCATTTGACCCAGCAATCCCATTACTGGGTATATACCCAAAGAATTATATATCATTCTACTATAAAGACACATGCACATGTATGTTTACTGTGGCACTGTTCACAATAGCAAAGACTTTGAACCAACCCAAATGCCCATCAATCATAGACTGGATAAAGAAAATGGGTCACATATACTTTATGGAATACTATGCAGCCATAAAAAAGGATGAGTTCATGTCATTTGCAGGGATATGGATGAAGCTAGAAACCATCATTCTCAGCAAACTAACACAGGAACAGAAAACCAAACACCACATGTTCTTACTCTTAAGTGGGAGTTGAACAGTGAGAACACAGGGACACAGGGAGGGGAATATCCCACACGGGGGCCTGTCACAGGGTGGGGGGCTAGGGGAAGGATAGCATTAGGAGAAATACCTAATGTAGGTGACAGGTTGATGGGTGCAGCAAACCACCATGGCACATATTTACCTATGTAACAAACCTGCATATTCTACGCATGTATCCCAGAACTTAAAGTATAATTTTTAAAAAAGACTTCACCAATATTATTTATTTTTCCTGTTGCCTCAGGTTCCAACATGGCTCAACATGGCAGTTGCTGATCCTGCCTTTGCTTAAAATTTGGTACTTTATCACAAATTTTAAAATTAATTTTGATTTCTCAAAATATTGATTTAAATGTTTATCTCTACTATTGAGTTTTTGGGCACGCCTTTAAATTTTGCATGCAAGATAAGCACCTTACTCAGTTGTAGGATGTTGACGGTGATAAGGACATTAGCAAAGGAAATATTGAAAAGCTCATGAATACTGCTGCATAATTCTTCTTAGAGAAAATAGTTTCTTAGTATAGGATAGAACAATTGCTAAAGGGAAGGTGATCTCCTACATAGCATGAAAAGATGTGTCATGCTCTTGGTATTTGTAATTTGTTCCCTTTCACTCTGCTCAACTAAAACAAGGATGAAAAACATTTTTCCATTAAAGATTATTAATTTTAAAAATTATTTGAGTCAGAAAAAATAAATGCAAATTAATTTTATTAATTTTATTTAAAAATTAGTTTAATCTTTTGCTTTAAAGAAAACACTGAGTTTATGGGTCACTTTACAAGTGAAATAAGAACACAGATTTGGGGGTAATAAACATAATTTATCACCAAATACATTTGTTTTAATTTATTTCACAGTTCAAAAACAAAGTGTAAGAGTAGAAAAAGGAAAGAAAGAAGAAAGGAGAGAGAGAGAAGTACAGAAAAAGTTACAATAATCAAAATAAAAATCAAGAGAAAAGGGAAAAGAAAGACTAGCAGAGACATAAATGGAAAGATAGTCGTATGACTTAAAAACAAATGGTGAAGAGACAGAGAGATACTAGTCCATGAGGAGAGCAAGACCATCCAGAGGCAAAACTCCTTATCCAAGGAATTCAGAAGTAATTAGACATCCCTATTATGTAAAGCTGGCATCTGGTATGAGATTTCTTTTCCAAAAATTTGTGAGTAACCAGAATTTCTATGCATCTCTGGAATGCATGTATTCTAAACTCATTGTGCAATCCCTGCTGACATCAAGGCACCAAAATGTCTATAAATGTAATTGTTTACCATGACCTATGTGGCTAATATGGTAAAAATTACCCTTAAGCTCCCACTTTAAGGTCCATAAATACCCTAAGGAAAAATCTACTGCAGTGGCGTCCTCAGTCCTCTCTTGCTGAGGAGCCCTGCTGCACTCCTCTGCAGCGTTCTTTCCATCTAATACAACTTTCCTTTTCAAATCTATACAGTTGTTGGTAAATTCTTCTTACTACCCACAAGCCAACCACACTCCACTGTCTGGGCTGTGACAGCTCGCATGGCAGTCCATATAAATGCACAGTCTACAAATCCATATAACCATAAAAAGAAAACAATGATAAAGAGAGCTGCACAGAGGAAAATAGAGAAAGGAAGCAAAATGAATGAGGTTAGATACGTTCTTAAGTGGAATAACAACCCCATCTTGGAGTAGGTTAGTCTTGCCACCAAAACTTTTAAAAACATGATTTTTTTTCATAATTGTGCATATAATCCAGGATCTTACTCACCTCTTAATGTTCACTCTAATAGATAAGATAAAATTAATCTGAAGATCTAAAATAGTCCTCAAAATGGAGACTTTTTAATCCTTCTAGGAAAGTTTTATCACCTTGGATAGATTTTCTCTTCTAGATAATCTTGAATTAATTTTACAATGAAAAGTATTACTGGTATTTTATTAAATTGTATTCTATTTATGCATTGACATGTATATATTCAATATTATTTTTAACCAACAAGAGTTTGTCTCTGAATTTATTCATTTTTTTCTCAAAAAAATGACCACTTTTTATATGAAAAGATACTTCCCAAAAGAAAACATGTATACGGCCAATAAGCATATGAAAAAAAAAATGCTCAGCTTGACTATTCATTAGAGAAATGCAAATCAAAACCACAATGAGATACCATCTCACACCAGTCAGAAGGACTATTATTAAAAAGTCAAAGAATGGCTGGGCACGGTGGCTCACGCCTATAATCCCAGCACTTTGGGAGGCCGAGGTGGGCAGATCACGAGGTCAGGAGATCGAGACCATTCTGGCTAACACGGTGAAACCCCGTCTGTAATAAAAAATACAAAAAAAAAAATTACCTGGGCGTGGTGGCGGGCGCCTGTAGTCCCAGCTACTCAGGAGGCTGAGGCAGGAGAATGGCGTGAACCTGGGAGGCGCAGCTTGCAGTGAGCCGAGATCGCGCCACTGCACTCCAGCCTGGGCGACAGAGCGAGACTCCGTCTCAAAAAAAAAAAAAAAAAAGAAAAGAAAAAAAAAGAAAAGTCAAAAAATAAAAATTCAAAGAGAATTTTTTTTTCTTTTTTTACTTTTATGGCATGACTTCTAGTATTTTTATATCCTTAACACTTTATACAAAAAAATCAAAGGAAGAAGAATAATAACATTTAAGTTTACTTTGTTTCGTTTTTCAGAGTTAATAGTTGTTTCACATTCTCACCAAGATTTAGTTTTTAAATGTTGATCTTGTATCCTGCAACCCTTGATAAATTTCCTTGTAAATTCTAGTTCTTTAAAGACACCATAGTATGCTCTACACATACATTTCTTCTATGAATAAATAGATTTTTATTTTTTTCTTCCTAATATTAATACCTTTAAAAAAAACTTTATTTCAGTGGTTAGCACATGTTGAATAGAAGTGGTGAGAGCATGGATACTTGCATTCTTCCTAATCTTAAGGGGGCATGCATTCAAGATTTTATCATATGTTATAATGGTTGCTATAGGTTTTTCATAATTGCCCTTTATTGGACTGGAGAGGTTCCCTTTCATTTCCAATGTACTTAGAATTTTTTACAGACATGAATGGATGTTAAAACAGATGATTTTCTGCCTCTATTGGCAAGATCATATCATTTTTCCACCTTCATTCAGTGAATATAGCAATTAACTTGATTGATTTTCAAATGTTAAGCCAACTATGCGTTTTTGGGATACATCCCATCTGGTCACAACTTTTTATGTATTGTCATGTTCGGATTGCTAATGCTTTGTTTTAAAATTTTATGTGTAGCCGGGCAGGGTGGCTCACGCTTGTAATCCCACCACTTTGGGAGGCCGAGGAGGGCGAATCATGAGGTCAGGAGATCGAGACCATCCTGGCTAAGACGGTGAAACCCCGTCTCTACTGAAAATACAAAAAATTAGCCGGGCTTGGTGGTGGGCGCCTGTAGTCTCAGCTATTTGGGAGACTGAGGCAGGAGAATGGCATGAACCCGGGAGGTGGAGCTTGCAGTGAGCCGAGATCGCACGACTGCACTCCAGCCTGGGTGACAGAGTCAGAGTCCGTCTCAAAAAAATAAAAATAAAATTGTATGTGTATGTTTTTGAGAAATCATCTTTTCTTGTAATGCAAAATCCTTGCAATGCAAAATCCTGTGTCAGATTTTGGTATCAGGGTTATACTGACCTCATAAAGAAAGTTGGGCAATGGTATCCTTTCTTCTATTTTATGAACGAGTTTAGATACAATTGGCATTACCCGTTTCTTACATATTTTAGAAAACTCCCTGGTTGAGCCATATGAACCTGGAATTTTCTTAGTAGAAAGTTTTCAGCTCTACATTCATTTCCTTTTAAAATATATTCCTATTTAGATTTTGTATATCTTGATGTGCCAGTTTTGGCAAATGTGTTTTGTCATATTGCTATTCTTCATATTCCCTTATTATCCCTTCAGTTTCTTTAGGACTAATAGTGCTTCTCTTGTTATTCTTAATGTTGGTAGTTTGTGTGTTTCTCTTTTAAAATTCATCATTCTACTAGGGGTTTATCAATTTTGGTAATCATTTCAAAATACCAATTTTTGGCTTTTAAATTTTTTTCTAATGTTTGTCTACTTTATGTTTCATTAATTTTGACTCTTTTCCTTTTATCTCTTTCTTGCAAAGGACATGATCTCATTCTTTTTATGACTACATAGTATTCCATTGTGTCTGTGTACCACATTTTCTTTATACAGTTTACCATTGATGGCAACTTTGCTATTGAGAATAGTACTGTGTTGAACATATGTGTGCATATGTCTTTATGGTAAAATGATTTATATTCCTTTGGATATGTGCCCAATAATGAGATTGCTAGGTTAAATGATAATTCTCTTTTAATTTCTTTGAGAAATTGCCACGCTGCTTTCCACAATGGCTGAACTAATTTACATTCCCACCAGCAGCGTATAAGTGTTCCCTCTTCTCTGAAACCTCACTAGCATGTTATTTTTTGACTTTTTAATAATAACCATTCTGACTGCTGTGAGTTGGTATCTCGTTGTGGTTTTGATGTGCTTAGCGATGTCGAGCATTTTTTCATATGCTTCTTGGCTGCATGTAGGTCTTTGAAAAGCCTTTGTTCATGTCCTTTGCCCAATTTTTAAAGAGATTGTTTTTTGCTCGATCATTTAAGTTCCTTGTAGATTCTGGATATTAGACCTTTGTTGGGTGCATAGTTTGCAAATATTTTATCCCATTTTGTGGGTTGTCTGTTGACTCTGTTGACAGTTCATTCTGCTCTGCAGAAGCTCTTTAGTTTACTTAGGTCTCATTTGTCAATTTCTGGTTTTTGTGGTCAATGTTTTTGGTGTCTTCACCATGAAATACTAGCCAGGGCCTATTTGAGAATGGAATTTCCTAAGTTATCTCCTGGGGTTTTTATAGTTTGCGGTTTTACATTTAATTCTCCAATCCATGTTGAACTGATTTTTGTAGGGTGCAGCACACCAACATGGCACATGTATACATGTGTAACAAAACCTGCACGTTGTGCACGTGTACCCTAAAACTTAAAGTATAATAGTAACAAAATAAAATAAAATAAAACAAATGGAAAAGAAAGAAGGGGTTACATTTCAGTCTTTTGCATGTGGCTTGCCCATTATCCCAGCACCATTTATTGAATAGAAAGTCCTTTCCCTACTGCTTGTTTGTATCCTCTTTGTGAAAGTTCAGATGGTTATAGGTGTGCAGCACTATTTCTGGCCTCTCATTATGTTCCATTGGTTTATGTGTCTGTTTTTGTACCAGTATCATGCTGTTTTGGTTACTGTAGCCTTGTAGTATAGTTTGAGGTTGGGTAATATGATGCCTCCAGCTTTGTTCTTTTTTGCTTAGGATTGCCTTATTTGCCCATTTTTAAGTGGATTTTTTTTGTTTTGTTTTTTTGCTTGTTGCTTTGTTTAAGTTCTTTATACTTTCTGGATATTAGACCTTTGTTTGGAAGCATAGCTTGTGAGTATTTTCTCCCATTCTGTAGGTTTTCTGCTTACTCTATTGATAGTTCCTTTTGCTGTGCAGAAGCTCTTTTGTTTAATGAGGTCCCACTTGTCAACTCTAGTTTTTGTTGCAATTACCTTTGAGGACTCAGCCAAAAATTCTCTGCCAAGGCTGTGGCTGAGAAGAGTATTTCCTAGGTTTTCTTCTAGGATTTCTATAGGCTGAGGTCTTAAATTTAAATCTGTAATCGATTTTGAGTTGATTTTTGTATATGGTGAAAAATAAGGGTCAAGTTTCACTTTTTTTTGTATCTGACTAGCCAGTTATCCCAGCACCATTTATTGAATAGAGAGACCTGAGAGTTAGCTTGGTTGAATGTTCTTAGGCTCCAGACTCAAGCCCACAACTTTCCTCAGTAGGGGCTTCTAAACAGAGAGTCTTTTCTCCATTGCTTATTTTTGTCTGCCTTGTTGAAGAGCTGATGGTTGTAAGTGCATGGATTTATTTCTGGGTTTTCTATTCTGTTCTATGGGTCTATGTGTCTGTTTCTGTACCAGTAGCATACTGTTTTGGTTACAATGGCCTTATAGTTTGAGTAGTGTGATGCCTCTAGTTTCATTCTTTTTACATTTTTTTCAATTTTTCTGGGTACAGAGTAGGTGCATATGTTCATGTGGTACATTTTGCATGGGATTGTTTTGACTATTCAGGCTTTTTTGGCTCTGTATGAATTTTCTATCTTTTTTTCTAATTCTGAGAAGAATGGTGTTGGTGGTGAGATAGGAATACCATTAAACTGTTGATTGCTTTGGGCAGTGTGGCCATTTTAACTATATTGATTCTTGTAATCTATTAGTATGGAATGTTTTTCCATTTATTTCTGTCATCTCTGATTTCTGTCAGCAGTGTTTTTGCCATTAATTTTGTAGAGGGTTTTCTGGTTAACTGTATTCCAAGGTATTTAATTTTCTTTGTGCCTATTGTAAATGGGATTGTGTCCTTGATTTCACTCTCAGCCTGGACATTATTGATGTATGGAAATGCTATTGATTTTTATACAATGATTTCATGTCCTGAAACCTTCCTAAAATTGTATGTCAGTTCTAGTTGCCTTTTTGTGAAAGCTAGTTTTCTAAGTATAGAATTATATCATCAGTGAATAGAAATAGTTTGACTTCTTATTTTCCTATTTGGATATCTTTTATTTCTTTCTTTTGCATAATTGCTGTGGCTAGGACTTCAAGTACTCTGTTGAAGAAGTGTGGTGAGAATGTACATCCTTGTCCTTTACCAGTTCTTAAGGGGAATACTTCCAGCTTTTGCCCATTCAGTATCATGTTGGCTGTGGGTCTGTCATAGATGGCTCTTATTGTTTTGAGGTATATTCCTTCAAAATCTAGTCTGTTAAGGGTTTTTATCATGAAGGGATGTTGGATATTATTGAATGCTTTTTCTGCATCTATTGAGATGATCATGTGGTTTTTGTCTCTTATTATGTTTATGTGATGAATCACATTTATTGATTTGCATACATTGAATCAGCCTTACCTCTCGGGAATAGTACCTACTTGATCACAGTGTGTTAACTTTTTGATGTGCTGATGGATTCAATTAGCTAATATTTTGTCGATGATATTTGCATCTGTATTCATAAGGGATATTGCCCTGATGATTTGTTTTTTGTTCTGTCCCTGCCAGGTTTTGGTATCAGGATGATACTGGCTTCATAGAATGAGTTAGGGAGGAGCTCCTACTCCTCAATTTTTTGGAATAGTTTCAATAAAATTGGTAGAGTTCTTTTTTTAACTCTGGTAGAATTCAGCTGTGAATCTATCTGGCCCAGGACTTACTTTGGTTGGTAGGTTTTTTTATTATTGATTCTGTTTCACAGCTTGATGTTGGTCTAATCAGGGTTTCAATCTCTTCCAGGGATTCAATCTTGGGAGATTGTGTGTTTCCATGAATTTATCCATTTCTTCTAGATTTTCTAATTTGTATGCATAAAGTTGCTTATAGTATTCTTTGAGTATCTTTTGTATTTCTGTGGGATCAGTTGCAACATCATTTTTGTTATTTCTGATTGTACTCATTTGGGTCTTCAGCTTTTTTTCTATGTTAATCTAGCTAGCAATCTACCAATTTTGTTTATTTTTATTTTGAAGGACCAATTATTGGTTTCGCTGACCTTTTGTACATATTTTTGCATCTCACTTTCATTAAGTTTTTCTCTATTTGTAGTTATATCTGTTCTTCTGCTAGCTTTGAGCTTTTTTTTTTCTAGTTCCTTTAGGTACAAAGTTGGATTATTAAATTCAGATTTTTCTAACTTCTTGATGAAGGTATTTAGTGCTATAATCTTTCCTCTTATTATCTTATTTACTTATTTATATAAAAAGTTTTATTTCCTGCTTTAGCTTCATTTCAGAGATTTTGGTTAGTTGTGTCCCTGTTTTAATTTCAAAGAATTTTTTTGATTTTTGCCTAATTTCAGTGTGGACCCATGAGTTACTCAGGAGCAAGTTGTTTACTTTCCATGAATTTGTGTACTTTTGAGAGACCTTCTTGACGTTTATTTCTAATTTTATTGCACTGTGGTTCAAGAATGTGCCTGGGATGATTTCAGTGTTTTTGAATGTATTCAGACTTGCTTTCTGACGAAGCGTGTGGTTGATCTTACAATATGTTCCATGTGTAGATGAGAATGAATATTCTATGGTTGTTGGATGGAGTGTTCTGTAGATGTTTATTAAGTCCAATTAGTCAAGTGTCAAATTTAAGTCCAGAATTTCTTTGTTCGTCTTCTGCCTTAACGATCTAAAACCATCAGTGGAGCAGTGAAGTCTCCCAGTATTATTGTATGATTGTCTAAGTCTTTTTGTAGGCCAAGAAAAACTTGTTTTATGAGTCGGGTGCTCCAATGTTCAGTGTGTATACATTTAGGATAAAGTCTTCTTGTTGAACTGAACCCTTTATCATTATGTAATGCCCTTCTTTGTCCTTGGTAATTGTTGTTGGTTTGTTTTATACGCTATAAGAAATAGTGACCCCTACTATTTTTTGTTTGTTTTTTGTTTACATGACAAATCTTTCTGCATCCCTTTACTTTGACCCTGTGGGTTTCATTACATATGAGATTGGTCTCTTCAAGACAGCAGACAGTGGTGTCTTGCCTTTTTATCCAACTTACCACTCTATGCCTTTTAAGTAGGGCATTTAGATAACTTACATTTAAGATTAATATTGATATGTCAGATTTTGATCCTGTCATCATGTTGTTAGCTGGCTGTTTTATAGACTTGACTGTGTAGTGCTTCATAGTGTCTATGGGCTATGTGCTTAAGCGTGTTTTTGTGGCAGCAGATGCTGTTCTTTTGTTCACGTGTTTAGCACTCCCTTAAGGACCTGTTATAAGGCTAGCTAAGTTGAAATGTATTACCTTAGCATTTTATTTTCTGAGAAGGATTTTATTTTTCCTTCACTTATGAAGCTAAGTTTGGTGGGATATGAAATTCTTGGTTGGAGTTTATTTTCTTTAAGAATACTAAAAATAGGCCCCTAATTTTTTCTGGCTGATAAAGTTTCTGCTGAAAGGTCTGCTGCTAGCCTGATGGAGTTCCCTTCATACATAACCCGACCTTTCTTTCTAGATCCCTTTTCTTTTGCATTAACTATGGTGAATCTGAAGATTATGTGCCTTGTAAATCTTGTACAATATCTAGCCAGGATTCTCTGTATTTCTTGGATTTGCATATCATCCTCTCTAGCAAGATTAGGAAGATTTTCATGGACTATATAGTCGAATTTATTTTCCAAGTTGTTTATTCTCTGTCCTTCTCTCTCAGTAATGGCAATGAGTTGTAGATTTGGTCTCTTTATATAATCTTTCTCAGAAGTTTTGTTCACTTTTAAAATTGTTTTTTCTTTATTTTTGTCTCACAGTGTTAATTCAAAGAACCAGTCTTTGAGCTCAGAGATATTTTCCTTAGCTTGGTCTATTTTGCTGTTAATACTTCTAACTGTATTATGAACTTCTTCTAGTGAATTTTTAACTCGAGAGTTTCAGTTTGGTTCTTTCTTAAAGTGGCTATTTTGTCTTTCAGCTCTTCTGTCATTTTACTGGATTCCATGGATTGGATTTCAAATTTGTCCTGAATCTCAATGAGCTTCCATGACATCCAGATCCTGAATTCTATGTCTCTCATTTCAGTAATTTCTTATGGTTTAGGAATCATTGCTGGGAAAGACACAATCTAACCTTGAGTGACCTTGAATGTAAATGGGTTAAATGCTTCAAGGCATTTAAAAGGCATAGAGTGGCAAGTCAGATAAAGAAGCAAGACCCAACTGTATTCTCTCTGCAAGAGACCCATCTCACATGCAGTGATATCCAGGGGCTCAAAATAAAGGGATGGAGAAAAAATAGACCAAGCCAAAGAAAACAGAAAAGAGCAAATGGTCTGATTCTAATTTCAGACAAAATAGACTATAAACCAATAACAATCAAAAAAGACAAGGGTATTTCATGATGGTAAAGGGTTAAACTCAACAAGAAAACCTAACAATCCTAAGAATATATACATCTAACACAGAAGTACCCAGACTTATAAAGGAAGTTCTTAGAGACCTTTGAAGAGACTTTGATAACCACACAATACTACTGGGAGACTTCAACAACCCACTGACAATATTAGAGCATTGAGACAGAAAATGAACAAAGAGATTCGGGACTGAGCTCAACATTTGACAAAATGGTCCTAACAGACATCTACAGTACTCTCCACCCAAAAACATTAGAATATTATACATTCTTCTCATCTGCACATGGCACATACTCTAAAATCAACGACACAATCAATCATAAAACAATTTTCAGGAAATTCAAAAAATCCAAAATCATACAAACCACACTTTCTCAGATTACAATGCAATAAACATTGAAATCAATACAATAAAATACATCAAAAGCATACGTGAAAATTAACCAACCTTCTCCTCAATGACTTTTGGGTAAACAACGAAATTCGGGCAGAAGTCAAGAAATTCTTTGAAACTAATGAGAACAAACATACTACGTATCAAAATCTCTGGGACACAGATAAAGCAGTATTAAGAGGAAAGTTTATATCACTAAAAAAAAAAACTACATCAAAATATTGGAAAGATTTCAAATTAACATCCTAACATCACACCAAGAGGAACTAGAGAAACAAAAGCAAATCAGTCCCAAAGCTAGCAAGAGAAGGGAAATAACTGAAATCAGAGCTGAACTGAAAGAAATTGAGATGCAAAAAACCATACAAAAGATAAACAAATCCAGGTTTTGTTGCTTCAGAATAACACATCAGATTGATAGAGCACTAGCTAGACTAATAAAGCAAAAAAGAGAAGAGATAAAAATAAACACAGTCAGAAATGACAAAGGAAACATTACCACCAACCCCAAAGAAATATTTTTTAAAAACCCTCAGAGACTACTATGAACAACTTTATGCACACAAACTAGAAGAAATTAATAAATTATTGGAAACATACAACCTCCTAAGATTGAACTAGGAAGAAACTGAAACTCTGAACAGACTAATAACAAGTTCCAAGACTGTGTTAATAATAAAAAGCCTACCAACCAGAAAAAGCCCAGGATCAGAGGAATTCACAGCTGAGTTCTACCAGATGCATAAAGAAGAGCTGGTACCTTTCCTCTGAAACTATTCTGAAAATTTGAGGAGGAAGGACTCCTCCCTAATTTATTCTATGAAGCCAACATCATTCTGATACCAAAACCTGGCAGAGATACAACAAAAAAAGAAAACTAGCAAAAAAAAAAAAAAAAAAAAAAAAAGAAAAGAAAAAAAGAAAATACTAGCAAACTGAATCCAGCAGCACATTAAAACTCTACTCCAACACAATCAAGTAGGGTTTATCCCTGGAACACAAGGTTGGTTCAGCATATGCAAATTAGTAAATGTGATTCACCACATAAACAGAACTAAAAACAAAAACCATCTAATCTTCAACAAGGCTGACAAAAACAAGCAATGGGAAAAGCACTCCCTATTCAATAAATGGTGCTGAGATAACTAGGTAGCCATATGCAAAAAATGGAAACTGAACCCCTCCCTTATACCATATATGAAAATCAATCCAACTGGATTAAAGACTTAAATGTGAAACCCCAAACTATAAAAACCCTGGAAGACAACCTAGGAAATTCCATTCTCAGCATAGCCCCTGACAAAGATTTCATGACAAAGATGACAAAAGCAAAAATTAATAAATGTGACCTAATTAACCTAAAAAGCTTCTGCACAGCAAAATAAATTATCAACAGAGTAAACAGACAACCTATAGAATAGGTTAAAGTATTTGCAAATGCACGCCTGTAGTCCCAGCTACTCGGGACGCTGAGGCAGGAAAATTGCTTGAACCCAGGAGGCAAAGGTTGCAGTGAGCCGAGCCCGCACCACTGCCCTCCAGCCTGGTGACAGAGTGAGACTCCATCAAAAAAAAAAAAAAAAAAAAAAAGAGTAGTCAAGGCTGGGCGCAGTAGCTCACGCCGGTAATCCCAGCACTTTGGGAAGCCAAGGCGGGTGGATCACCTGAGGTCAGGAGTTCGAGACCAGCTTGGCCAACATGGTGAAACCCCATCTCTACTAAAAATAACAAAAATTAGCCAGGCATGGTGGCAGGTGCCTGTAATCCCAGCTATTGGGGAAGCTGAGGCAGGAGAATCTCTTGAACCCAGGAGGTAGAGGTTGCAGTGGGCCGAGATTGCACCATTGCACTCCAGCCTGGGTGACAAGAGTGAAACTGCATCTCAAAAAAAATAAATAAGACATACACTTGGCCAAGAAGCATATGAAAAAAAATGCTCAACATCACTAATCATTAGAGAAATGCACATCAAAAGCACAATGAGATACCATCTCACACCAGTCAGATGGGCTATTATTAAAAAGTCAAAAAATCATAGATCATGCTGGCAAGTTTGCAGAGAAAACGGAATGTTTATGCATTGCTGGTGGGAATATAAATTAGTTCAGCCATTATGGGTAGCAGTGTGGTGATTTCACAAAGTACTTAAAACCAAAGTAGCATTCAACCCAGCAATCCCATTATTGGGCATATACCCAAAGAAATATAAATCATTCTACCATAAAGACACATGCACAAGTACCTTCATCGTAGCAATATTCACAATAGCAATGTCATGGAATCAACCTAGATGCCCATCAATGGTGAACTTGATAAAGAAAATATGGTACAAATATACTATGGAATACTATGCAGTCATAAAAAGAATGAGATCATATCCTTTGCAGCAACATGCATGGAGCTGGAGGCCATTTTCCTGAGTGAACCAACATAGGAACAAAAAACTAAACACTACATGTTCTTACTTACAAATTTGAGATAAACCTTGAATACACATGAACACAAAGAAGGGAACAATACATACTTGGGCATAGTTGAGATTGGACTGTGGGAAAAGGGTGAGGATCAGAAAACTGCCTATCAGGTACTATGCCTATTACCTGGGTGATAAATCTGTTCACCAAACCCCAATGACAAGCAATTTACCTATATAACAAATCTGCACATGTATAACTGAACCTAAAAATTAAAAAATTAAAATTAAAAAAGTAAAAGGTATCTCCAAACAAGCAAACAAATAAGGAAAGCAAATAAAAAAAATCATTGCTTGGGGTCTGGTGGACTCATCTGGAGGTATGGGGAAACTGGCTTTTTGAATTGTCAGAGTTCTTGCACTGATTCTTTCTCATCTGGAAGCATTGGCGTTCCTTTACCTGTGGTGTAATTTGAGTATAGTCACTTGGCTTTGTTTCTGAATGTTTTCAGATAGCCAAGGCTTTGTGCAGGGTCTTTATTTGTGGCTGGATTCTTGCCTTTGATTTCACTGGGGGATATTAGCAAAATATTTTTGGTGTTGTAGCAGTTTTGGCTGCAATCCAGTAGATGTCGCTTAAGAGTAATGGACGGTAAATACACTCTTGCTCAGGCCTGTGGTTCCTTTGTACTTCCTCACATCTACAGCCTGGTCTCCCGTACAGCGGGGAAAGAAGTGACCCCCTCACCAGGTCAGCTCCTGAGCCTTGGGGGAACCCCCTCCGATCACTAGCACTGCACCATCATTTCTTTTGCTAGGTGTTCCAGGCTGCGGGGCTCCCTCAGGCAGAGGCCACCGCAGGGAGATAGGCCACACCTTTTCCAGGCTCCTCCTGCAGAGGGAGGCGCGCCCCGCTCCCACAGCAGCCCAGGAACTCATGCGGTTACCCCTCTCGGTGCTCTGGGAGTGTGGGTTTCTCTTCCCGCTCTAGTGTTGGACCTGGGGCGAGTTCGGGCTTTTTATTCCCTCCCCTGCTTGGGGGAGCAGGGAAGGGGACCTTGGCGGTGTCGGTGGCAGAGGGCTTGTCAGTTGTCTCTGGGAACTCCACCCCAGAGAAATTCAGAGCCGCTGCCAACCAGAATGATCAGCCCGGGATGGGACGTTTGTGCTGTGGGCGCAAGCCCAGGGCCCTCCCTGGTGGAGAGCAGAGGGATCGGGGGCTTGTTGGGGGGACTGTCTGACCTCCTCTCCGTAGTGCAGCTGTGGCATGCTGGATGTGCAAGCACAGCAAGCAGGCTCTTTGTTCCCTCCCTAGCCCTGGGGGTGGCAGCAGTGGCAGAGGGCCTGTCAGCTGCCTCTGGCAACTCCACCCAGAGCTACTGCTACTGCTAAGGTGAAGGATCCAGGGGTGGGGCGGCTGTGTTGTGGGCCAAAGCCGGCCGTGTCTGGTGAAGAGTAGCCGGGGTCAGGGGCTCGCAAGGAAGACAATCTGGCCTTCTCTCCCTAGGACAGCTGCAGTCAGGCTCTTTGTTCCCTACCTAGCCTGCGGGGAGCAAGGAAGGACCTTACACTCAGCTAGGGGTGGCACAGAGCCTGCCGGTTGTCTCTGGGAGCTCTACCCCAGAGAAACTTAGGGCCACCGCCAAATGAAAGAACGGGTGGGGGTGGGGCAGCTGTGCTGGGACCCCAGGCTCGGAGGCCCTGCCCAGTGAGGAGTAGCTGGGACAGGGACCCACGTGGAAAATAATCTGGCCACTTTTCCGTATGACAGCTGTTCGTATGCCTTGCTGAAGGTCTAGGATAGTTCCTGCGCTCTTCGATCCCTCCCCAGCCTGAGGGCGGCATGTGGGAGACCACAGTACCAGAAATCTCAGGCCTATTGGTTACCTCTGGGAGTTCCTTTCCAAAGAAATGGAGAGCCTGACTGGCCTGAGTGCTCAGGTGGGAGTGGGGTGGCTGCGTGGGCGACCCAGGCCAGTGGGCTTTGCCTGGCTTGATGAAGCAAGCGGGGCCTGCGGTCAGTCTGCTCCTCAGCACCGTGGATGCAGCCCCTATTCTAGGGGCATGCGAGAGAGCTGGCCTCCCTTGTTGGTGTGGCTATGGCAGCTGGCACCAAGGTGCTCAGGGCCCCACGGCTCATGGGGCTCCAGGTGACCCTAGCTGCAGCTCTGCCCAGACTCCAGTAACCTCTCTGTGTTGGTCTGGAAGCCCCTCGGGGTCACGGGAGATCTCCTGTGCCAGGATTGCAAAGGCCCATGGCAGAAGTGTGGGTCCCAGGAGGTTCTTATTCACCCTTTCCCTATGGTAGGGAGCCTCACCTGGCTCTATGCCAATCCTGGGTGGACTGCTTTCCTGCCTGGCCCCTTTCTGCTGTCCATCGATTGCAGTTGCTTCCTTGGTGAATCCTAACATGGCCTCATGGACGATCCATGTGAAGAGCTAGTGTTTACTCACCACCCTGTCTCCCTCTCCATGAGTGGCACATGATAGCTGCTTCTGGCACCTCACCCTATTCTGTACTTTTTTATTGATAATACATGAGCAACATTATCCTACATGCTAATCAAAATCAGTGGTTTTCATTTCTGTGGTTGATTTTTAAGGGTAAGCTTACTTTCATGCTTATAAGCCTTTTCGTTTTTTTCCTTTGTTCATTGCCCACATTTCCTTCTATGTACCTATTTCATATTCATTTAAGCAAATTATTTATGTATTAGATAAATTTTTATCGTTTATATCGATTTTTAGTAATTTTTATTTTAATTTTTATTCATGGATGCCCTCTCATACAATCTTGGAGTAGGGAAAAAATATTCAATTTACATGCAAACCTTATAATCATGCAGAAAATAATCTCCACATCTATATGCCATAGAAATATTTTCAGCGTTTTTCTGCCTTTTGCCCATATAAACTTTTTTCATTTTTACATATCAAAATATGTAGCAGATATCAAGATTTAATACATCTTTTTATTTTCATTTTCTTTGTCAAACTTCAATGGCCTTTCTCACCTCCAAGATTGCAAACTTTTTATCCTATATTTTACCACCATTTTTGTTTGCTTTCTGAAGAAGCTGTCAACACACAGACAGGTTTGTCAAAGACTTTTGCCACTACCATTACAGATTCTATCAAATATACTCATACAAAATTTAATTTAGAAAAAATAATTAGAGAGACAATAACATGAGAGGTGCTCTCTACAATTCTCTTCATGCCAGACC
Organism: Homo sapiens; assembly: GCF_000001405.40. Lineage (NCBI taxonomy): Eukaryota > Metazoa > Chordata > Mammalia > Primates > Hominidae > Homo > Homo sapiens. The sequence goes on along the minus strand of NT_187382.1, from coordinate 388,887 downwards.
ATGGCTGATTGATGTGTTCCCTGAGCCAAGAGCTGGGAAAGTGGCTTCTTGTCCTCTCAGTCTCCTGGTTATGGCAGGGATAGGTCACTTAGCAGGTTAGTTCTACAGTGTTTTTCTGGTAACAATTTCTATAATAGATGCCCAGCATAAATAATGGTCTTCTATACTTGAAAAATTTTATAAGTACCTAATTTCTCACATTAGACCCCACTATTAATACAGGAGTTATTAAGAAATTATTTTTAGGCAGCTAGAAAGGGTAAAAGAGTCCTCAGAAAGGCTTTTCCTTTTAATAAAAAAGCAGCCCCCAAACCATTTCTTTTCTAACAGAAAGCAGCCTGAAAAGCCATGCTGGAAGCATAGGTATGTAAATTACAGGCTTGGAGAAGTAAATGCAGGTGGCTAAGAGCCAGGTCCACTCAATATGACTGTTCCCGCTCACTTTCCTTTGTTGCCACATGTGCAGTTGTCATGGCACCAGCCAAGTAAAGCCACATGTGCAGGCATCATGGCGACAGCCAGGTAGAAGCCGCATTTGCAGAATAAAAGATTAGGGTGGGAGGGCCAGTCTTTTCATGGGTTGTGTGAATGACACACCTGGTCAAAGGAATCCCCTGGGCCCTATGCAAATCAGACACTACCTCCCTGAGCCTCCCAATATAACTGACTGCTTTCCCCACAAGTGGGGTTACTCCATTCAGAGTCCTTCTCCCTCTGTATGGGGAAGCTCTTCTCTTCCTTCTTGCCTAATAAACTTTCTGTTCCTTAACCCACTCCGTGTGTGAGTCTGTGTCATTAATCGGCACAGCACAAGACAACGAACTGCAGGTATTTCCCCAGACAACGAAGCTGCTTCACTATGTTGAAAATAACTGGAGTGATTTATGTAATCTATAATACAATCTGAAGTACTAAATATCTAATAATGTCTAATAATCATCGTGAAGCTCTGAAGAAAAAATAAGTGGAATAATTTCATGACATTTTACCATGAAACAAATTGGCTTCCTTTCTTATCTCACCACCAAATTTTGGGGGGGAAATATATATTTATTTATATATTGATTAAATATATAAAAATATATATTTATAAATATATAAAAATATATATTTATAAATATATAAAAATATATTACTTATTTTATATATATGTAAATATACATATATATAAAATATATATAAAAACATTAAAATATATATAATTTTAATATATTTATATATATAAAATACTATAGTCTTTTTCATAACATACTTGCAACATACATTTGGTTTTTGATATTTTACAGTTTATTAATCTCTGCCTAAAATCTTGCTGATGTTGCTCTAACCAGTAGAGGAAAGCATTGTAGATGAACTGCTCCTTTGCTTAAAACATTAAAATGGGTTCTTACCACAATTAAAATATGAAAAAATTCTTACCTCAGACTGAAAGACCCTTGCAGTCACATAAAACTTAACCCTTAAATTTCTCACACTTACTCATTATACTTCAACCACTCTGGGGTTTCCTTTATATTCTTTAAATATAATAAGTTTATTCTCTCATTATGCATAACTCTCCTCCATTGCCTACAATGGTACCTGGCAAATGGGAGGTACTCAGTGAAAAACAGGACTTGTTAAATGAATGATATGAATTCCAGCCAGAATTCCTCCTTCTCAGTTTCTTATTATAAAATCCACTTGACAGACTACATGTCGACTCAATAACCTCTTCATGGAAGTTTTCACTTCCTGGTTGCGAAGGGTATAAATCATAGGATTCATCAATGGAAAGATCACTGTGTGAAAGAGAGAAACCATCTTGTCAGCTGGTAAGGCCCTGAAAGGGCACATGTAGATGAAGATAGCAGGTCCAAACATAAGAAGTATAATAATGACACGAGTGGTGCACATGGACATGGCCTTGTTCTTCCCTTCAGAAGCTGCCCTACGAACATGGCAGAGGATGACTGCATAGGAAGCCAGAAGCCCCAGAAAGCACAGGAGTGTCATCAGGCCACTGTTGAAGACCATCAGAAGCTCCACCACAAACATGTCGGTGCAAGCCAGCTTGATGACCTGTCGGACATCACAGAAGAAGTTGTCCAGCTGGTTTGGGCCACAAAAAGGCAAGCGGAGGATGAGGACCACCTGGATAATGGAGTGGACAAAACCCCCAAGCCACAGAGCCAACATCATTGCATAGCAGGCTCTAGGGTTCATGACAGTTGAACAGTGCAGAGGCCGGCAGATGGCGATGTAGCGGTCAAAGGCCATCACAACAAGGAGTAATCCCTCCCCTCCTCCAAGGAAGTGCAAGAAAAAGAGCTGAGTGATGCAGCCTCTGTAGGAGATTACCTTCTTCTCAGAGAAGAAGTCCACCAACATCCTGGGAGCCACAATGAAGGAGTAGGATGCATCCAGGAAGGCCAAGTTGCCCAGAAAGAAATAGAGGGGGGCTGTGAGCCCAGGGTCTGACCTTATGGTGAAAATAATGAGAAAATTTCCAGGGAGGATGATAAGGTAGAAAATTAAGATCAGCACAAAGACCAAGAGCTGAATATCTTGAGACTGAGTCAGACCAAGGAGGATAAATTCTGTCACTACTGTGTTGTTTGCTATCTTCATTTCTTCTGCCTGTAGAATATCAATAAAAGAGTTTATTTTCAGGTGTTACATCTAGATTATAGTTCTTGAACTAAACACAAGGTATGCCACATTTATATTATTCTATCTATCTCAACAACCTAAGAAATCACTTCTACTGTTTATGCTTCCTCATTTCATGATAGCCAACACCCTGGTCCTGAAGCCACACTCTTTCTTCTGTTTCAGTCCTGTGCTTCTGTTTAAGTGTTCACTCATGTGAGACTTGGATGTTACTGCTCTGAATTTGTTCCTGATTTGTATGAGGCATATGAAAATTTTTCTGACTGAGAAAAAACTTAACCCCAGTTATTGAGGTCTTCATGTTTTGCTTTGAATGGAAGATGAGCTGGGATTGACAGCAAAGAAGAATGACAGAACTTTTCAAGGGGACAGAAATGTTCCGTTTTTAATTATAATGGTTATATGTATCTATTTTTGTCAAAATTTATTGAGTATTGAACTATACAGCAATTAGTACAATTTATTTTATATAAATGCTACCTTAGGAATGTTTATCTAAAAACTTTTATAAAGGCAACTGTACTTACCAGAAATAATTCCCTTTTCTCTATAGAACATCAACCAAATGAACTGGTCTAAATAAAAAGCTCTCAGTCACTCTGGAGAAAACAAGATCTGAGGCTTCTCTGTACAGTGGCTTCCAAATTGAGACTGTGCTCATGCTTGGGGATGTGCATGATAATTTATTGGTATGAAAGCAATAATAGGAGAATTTCTACACTTACATTATTGTATCCTATTGTTTGAAGTTTTATTTTTGAACATTTTACATTTATATAGAATCATGATGTAATTGGATATGAAATGCATAAAGAAGATACGTATGTTTTTGGTGCATGTTCAAAAAATGGTTTGTGGTTGAAATAAAAAAATTTAAAAGCTAAAGATCTTGAGCTAGAACAAAATACTACAATGTGATACAGAAAAATATTTCATATGCTTCTGTTACACAGCACATTTGTTTTAAAATAATGTGGACTATGAAGCGTAGAGGGAAAGAGGTTCATTAACTAACTGAATGAGGAGTCGGTGTGTAAGAAGAGAGGGAAACAAAAACAATAAAGTCCCGAATTAAGAAATCAAAGAAAATATTTATAATGGCACATCTATTTAAAACATCAAAAGATATGCTTTTCAAAATATATCTAATCCTAATATATTAATTAATAGCAGAGGTTTTCAGGTATGGTCAGAATTGGGAATTATGAAAGAAGTACCTAGGCCAGGCACTGTGGCCCACACCTGTAATCCCACCCTTTTTGGAGGCCAAAGCAGGTGGATCACTTGAGGCCAAGAGTTCGAGACCAGCCTGGCAAAACCCTGACTCTACTAAAAATATAAAAATTAGCTGGGCGTGGTGGCAGGAGCCTGTAGTCCCAGCTACTTCAGAGGCTGAAGCATGAGAGTCGCTTGAACCTGGGAGGTGGAGGTTGCAGTGAGTCCATATTGTACCACTGCACTCCAGCCTGGGTGACAGAGCAAGACTCTGTCTCAAACAAAAAAAAGTATCTTACATCACATGTATGTACATCACACAGACACAAATAAATACACGCAAACACACGTATCCTAACCAAAACAGAAGCATAAAATTTTACATATCATACCCTTCTTTTCTTTTTTTTTTTTTTTGGCACTTGGCCATTTATTGACCTTAATATTTATCAGTCTTTCTGTGCATATAAAACCTGCTAATAGAAAAGTCGGGAATCCCTCTCTGCTTACTCTTAAGTTGTGTACATCTTGCATGTTATTATGCAGTTGGTTATTTCATACTCTTTCAAAAATTGAGGATGTATTTGGGTCATAGGAGAAACTTTCAAGTATCTCTGAGATTGGGAGTTTCAGGTTCTTGCACTGTACCTTGCATTTTATTCCCTGTTATCCACTTCTGTTCTCCTACTGACTCTGTAACATCTGGAACCCTCTACCATCAAATATCTTTGATTCACTGTGTTCCCTTTGTGTGCTTCCCTCTAAGCTCTTTTGTTATATGGATAGTGCTCACATCATGCTCATTATGGATCCAGAAACCAAATATATATATTCATAAGGTGGACATTCCTCTAGGTAAAATGAAGTAAGTCCTAGCAAAATAAAAGCACAGAAATTCCTGCAAAGACAAGCTTGGTCTTGTCTAACTATATTAGAAGAACATAACAATGTTAGAAGGATCACTGTCAGTGGAAGCTGAAATAGAAATCTGAATGACTGCCACTCCCTCTATCCTATATTTCAATTTCAACAGAAACAAAATTTCATCTGTTCCTGACAATGCTGGAGCAGCACAGAAGAGGAAAGAGTGATGGGTGGGGGCACACACACATTCCAGATAAAGGCTGCGCTATGCACTGTTCACGTTTAGAGTCCAGGCTCTTGTTAGAAAGTTCATGGAGCAGGTATTTGGAGATTTGATTCCCATCCACAGGCACTAATTCACTCATTTTTCTTTATATTTCCTCATGCCTCCTTTTAAAATATTTATTTTATTATCTTCCCCTCCCATCTCGCTAAATATTTCTACACTTCATTTTTTAAGTTATACTTTTACTTAAGTTGGTTTCTCTTTCTCTATTTTATCTTCTCTTTCTCTCTCGTATTTGTTCTCTAATGATTCCCCTTGCTTTTCTCTTATCTCTTCTATTTTTTCTCCTTTGTTGTTTTTACTTCTCAATGTTCTTGCAGTTTCCAATATTTTTCCACTCTCTTCTTCTCTATTCATTTCTCCTTTATTAGATCTCATGTTTGCCTTCCCATTAATTCTGAGAAGCATCACTATTGTTTTCTTTTGAAACAGTAGTAAGGACAGCACATGAAGTTTCTTCACTCCAATTTTTGTAAGGGTTAAAAATACCTAACCCATCTTTCAGTACTAAATTACTTTCCTTGAATAGTATCCTACTTAAAATATACTGTGTAAATACTTTTAAATTATTTCCCATTACCTCAAATATTTTGTCTGTTTATAACTGATCTTAATAAAAGTGGCACTATTCACCTTTCTGCTTGAAAGAAATTTCTCATTAATCCACCCTACCAGCAAAAACACATTTTAGAAATGTTCCCAAAATAAGAATAAGAATGTGATGTCTATTAATATGTGCTATCTAGTTTGTAACCCATAACCTATATAATCACTAATTTTTTGTGTGTTCTGAGAAATGTGGATAAAGTTAGAGTATCATCAAATCATTAACTGATACCAATGTTTATAATGCCATGATTTCTAGGCAAAGTAATGGATGTCATTTAAAAAGCCCTCGTTTGGGCATCTATCTGGGTTTAAGTTCTTCATTGTGCAATTTTTTTAACCGTGAGATCTTGGGAAGGTCATCTTCTTTAGCCTGAGTTATTTTATCTCACTGTGTTGATTTATGAATATAATATGAGAATGATAGCAATAAGTAGCATATTGAAGTCTGACTAAACCAAAACTAAACAAGGAAAAAATGTAGATATTAAGAGGGGCTTTAGTTTCTAAGAAGTAAATATATAATATAGATCCTCTGTCCCTGCCTTTGAAATGAGTTGCTGGGGTAAAGGTAGCTATGTTAATGTAAGAAATTACTAGAAAAGAATTTATGAAGGCTTCATTTCAGCCAGCTGTCAAAGCCCCAGATTGGTATATGGTAAGACTCTTTGTAAAAGAACCTCTCATCCCAGCAGGTGTGGGAACTAGACAGAGCTAGTCTCCTGCAAAATCGTGAAGTTGGTGAAGATTTCTTCTGCAGCCTAGCATTTCTGCATTGGATATGACTTCTGTTCCCTCACGTCTTTCAGTTAATAGCTATAGGTTTAGGACCAAGTATAAACATTCCCAAGGCAATGTTAATAAAGGCTTTATATATTCCCAATAAATTAATTCTAAATATTAGGAGAAACTGGGGCTATATTATTAAGACCAGGTAAAAGGTGCTACTGTATTACTGAATTCAGATTAAACATATTAATCTATTTCTAGTTTGAAACCCATAACCTATATAATCACTATAATTCTGATCTTTGCATTTCAAGGCAGCAGATGTCCCACCTGAGGTGTTACAATATGTTTCCATTTCTTCCTTATGTTCCTTATAAATATGGAGAATGGAAAAACATTTACCTCTCTAGTAATCTAATGCTCCTGTCAAACAGCAGATATCACCTCCTTCTAATAGAAGGAACAATAACTAATTTTTCCTGACTTCATTGTTAAATATCTCTTCTCACAGAGGAATCTCTTATGCAACCAATTTGTGATGCAATGGAGAATGTACTTTGGGAATTTGAAGGCTAACAAAGCTGCAAACACTTTCAAAGGGAATTGTTAAAATGCCAACAAAATATAGTCAAAGAATGAGACTAGAAACATGTTATATATAAATAGTGAAGTATATATGATTTAAAAGTCACTATGTCACTTCTAAGTTTTAAAATCAACATTCTATCAGTGACACATATTACAGAATAGTCAGCATGTTTACTAGGTCCATGTGGGCAGAAAGCCAAAAGAGGTTATTTTATTTCTTACGTTACTTTTTTTTTTTAAAAAAGTGTATAATAGGAAATCATTGATAGATCAAGAAAAGAAGTAATGTGGTCAGGTAGGTAGTATGGTAAATTCAACATATTTCTGATGACAAAGAAATAGGCAAAGAAAAATAAATGATGTTCACAAAGACTCTTTGGCATAATCCTTCTTGGAGACGAGAACTGCATATTGAAGGACTAATTCCTCACAAAGAGATGTATTCTTAAATACACCCTATTGTGGTCTTGGCCTTTGTTGTTTTCATTTTAGGAATAAGTGTCTCCTATGTTCCACTAAAGCAAAGACAACTATTTTTTTAAGTAAATATTACTAGACAGAAGAAAAGTAATTAAGAATCACATAGTAGAACACAATATAATTAAATTTCAGTAGATTTATTTTTATTTTAAAAAGATTTTTTATTTTAAAAATTAATATACTAAACAGTTTTTCAACAAATATAATGCATAATCAATAATATTTTGTTCTAATTTATGTCCAATTCAGAAAATAATAAGTGGGAAAAATGGAACATGGGGAAAAGAGAAAAAGGGAGAAAGAGATACACAAAATCATAAAGGTAAAAAAACCGGGGGGGAGAAATGCAAGAACAGGAACAAATGCAAAGACAGTAATGGAATAATAGGAAATAAAAAGCCAGGCACAAAAATTCATATTTTGTAAAACTATATACACCAAATAAACTAAAAAGTGTAGTGTTTACTTTCTTAAAAGAAACAGAAAAGAAGTGATATAAGTAAAGAAACACATGGAAAAACATTCCCATTTTTGAGTATATTATAGTCTTTCTTGCTACCAAAGATTTTTTAAAATATGATTTTTTCATAATTGTAGACATAATTAGGGACTTTGCTTCCTAATGTTTTCCACAATACTTAAAGTGAAGATAGTCTAATGATCTAAATTAATCCTTAGAATGAAGGCTTGTTATTCCTGCTAGGAAAGATTTGTCTCCCTAGACTATCTTAGAAACTAAAACCATGTACCAGGCTGTATTGTAGTGTCTGCAATGCAGCACCGAACAAGACAGAAAATATCCCTGTTCCTGGGGATTTTACATCCTAAAGCATGGAAACAGACAACAAACAAACATACCAGAGAGAAAACAACTGATTGTAATGAGCACTATGATAAAAATATAAGAGAAAGCGGAAGAGACTACTATTCCAAGTGAGCTGGCCAGGGAGGGCCTTTCTGACAAGGTGGCAACATTTCAACTAAGATCTGAATGACAGAACTACACCGTCTCTGGGAAGATCTGAAGATAGACTTGTTGAAAGCTCATTAAGGGAGAGACTGGTGCATTGAGAAGCAGAAAGGAGGCTAGTGTGGCAAGACAGTAGTGAGCAAATGGAAAAAATTGTAAGGGAAGATAGAGAGGTAGAGCCGATATGGGCCAAATGGCAATCGGTCAACATACTATGTGTGAGATGTAACAGGCAGAGGAGTGTTCCTACCTGATTTACATGTTTAAAATGTTGTGCCAGGTACTAAGTGAAAAACGGGCTATAAAATGCAAGAAGTGGAGGCAAGGGGAACAGTAGGGAGCATTTGAAGAACTATTAATATAAATAAGAGATGTTGGTAGGTTAGGATAAGAGGTAAAAAAGAAGACAGAAGAATTTATACCAAAGATAAACTTTGGAGAGATAATCAATGGGACTTATTGAAGGACTGCATATGAGAGGTATGGAAGCAAGAATAACTCAGAATTTTTAATGGCATTACCATAAGGTTGGAAATTAGGCAGTGTACTTTAAATATACTTGACTTAAAAAATGTATTTAATTTTTGAATAGGTAATATATTTACATTTTTAAATAAAAAAATAATTCATACAGTGAGAAATTTCCTTCTTATATCTGTCCCCTATATGTCCATTTCACCCCATACCTCAAAACTGGAAGCTAATATTAATTTTTGTATCCTTCAAGAAATTTATCTGTATTTACAAGCAAGCATGAAAATAAATTCTTGGTTGTATTTCTTAGAATACAATGTATATACATTAAAATACACACATTTAAGTGTTCAACGTAGTAACTTGTGTTAAATATATGCACTTTAGAAACTAGTATTCTAAACAAGATAAAGAATATTTCCGTCACTCCAGAAAGGTTTCTTGTGATCTTTGCCATCCACCCCCACCATCTAACATCATAATGAGCTTTCATCTTTTAATTCCTAATAGCATAGATTAGTTTTACCTTTTCTTGGATTTTATAAAAACAGAAGCATATGACATGTGTTATTTTGTATCTGGCTTTTAAACTCAGCATTACGATTTAGAGATTCATGCGTATTGTTGCATTTTCTGTAGTTGTTTCTTTTTACTGCGGACTAATGTTTCATTATATACTTAACCCTAAGTTTGTTTATTATCATTTTATCCTTTTATGGACATTTGGGTTGTTTCAAATCTTAGGCCACCAATAAGGTTTTCATTAGCATGCGAATTTAAATCATTTCATAGACATGTCTTAGCTAAACACGAATGGGATTATCAGGTCATAAGGTAGCTGTTTGTTTACATCTACCTGAAATTACCTGAAGTTTCTATTAAGTTTTTCAGAGTGGTTAGCCATTGTAAATTCCCAACATCAATGTATGAGAGTTCAAGTTACTCCAACAATTAATTCACCAACATTTGGTGTTGTGTTTTACTTATGCCATTATATTTTCTGCATTTCTAATGCTTTGATGTCTTGTGCCTTCCTAACACTGGAGGAACTATCCCTCTTATGGCTAGCCAATTCCTAGAGATGGTAAAAGCCTCACTTGCAACCAATCTAGAAACCACACTCCAGCCACTTCTTTTATCAGGCACCTATAGCGCTATTACACTCCAGGCCACTATTTGCCTTCCCTAATCACCCCAGGGCCAAGTGCCAGACACTTAGAGACAGCCCCTATCCTCCAGAGCCCACTGGAATTATTCAATCTAGCCAATCCTAAACCTGCTTATCCTGCCCCATCCATTTATTTCCAGAGAAACCATGATAAAGGCTCTTACCCACATTTTTCTCATTTCCCCACTCACCTAACCAACCTCTTATTTCTAGGGATTTGTGAGTCTAAAAACTTCTTCCTTCATGACAGTCATTTCCATGACAGTGTGTCTTACCATTCCAGATTAAAATAAATACCGGGCACCTTTAAAACAGTGCAGCAGACAAGAACTACATCTTGATGGCAGCTACATTGTTTTTGTCAGTAGTTGCCACAGGCTCCCAACATAAAATTGTGGAGCTCGGAAAGCTGAGTCCTCCCAGCGCTGCTGCATAGTCTAGAGTGTCAAGTGCCTGGGACTGAGCACCTGGAGGCACTCAATATATTTCTTCATGTTGGTAGAGCATCCGGAGTCCAGGAGAGAGCACGTGAGGGTGAGGATGTATTGGTAATTGGCTATATCAGTTTCTAGAAAGATTCGTCCGAAGGGGATGAGAACTGACTGCCTTCCTAGTGCCATGGATGAATCTGGCCCACTGACCAGGCAGCACTAACAAGCAATGGGGAAACTGAGTCATTTTTATGGACGTGTCTAGTCTCCAGTATGTTATATGTTCCTGGGGCACTTGATAAACCCCTTCCTCTTTTCCTTCTCTGCTATTTTGTTCTGTTCCTCAGAGTAGTGGGAGAGCGCTCTGCCTGAACACTTGATCGTGTGTTGTGGACCATTCCCTGCTGAGTAATGACGTGCATCTTTTCGTGAACTTGCTGATCACTTCTGTATCTTCTTTTCTGGAGTGTCTGTTCAAATTTTTTGCTGATTTTTCTTTACTTGAAGACAGAGAGAAACAGGGAGATTAAGAGAGACCAAATTTTCCTCCCAGTGTATGATTTCCTTAATAATTTGATGATAGTGTATCTTGACGAGCAGTAATTTTTAATTTTTTGAGGTTCATTTGATCACTTTTTATTATTACACCTGCTTTTGTGCTGCTTAAGATATCATTGCTTATTCCAATTGTGTAAGCAAATATATTATTCTGTGTTTTCTTCTAGATACTTTATATTTCTAGTTACTACATTTAGGAGTATAATCCAGCTCTGAAGATGCTCTTATTTGATTATATTTTCACTGAGATAAAAACTCTTTTCTCTTGTCATAATATAACTCTTCACTGGTTTACTTTTTTGTTGTTAAAGAAAAGAGATCAGCCGGGTCCCGTGGCTCATGCCTGTCCCAGCACTTTGGGAGGCCGAGGCAGGTGGATCATTTGAGGCCGGGAGTTCAAAACCATCCTGGCCAACATAGCAAAACCCCTTCTGTACTAAATATACAAAAATTACTCGAGCATGGTGGCATGGACCTGTAATCCCAGCTACTCAAGAAGCTGAAGCAGGAGAACTGCTTGAACCCGGGAGGCGAAGACTTTAGTGAACCGAGATCGAGCCACTGCCCTGGAGCCTGGGACACAGAGTGAGACTCTGCTTAAAAAAAAAAAAAAAAGGAAAAAAAAAGGAAAGAAGGAAGGAAGGAAACCAGTGAGATATTATCCTGACTGCCTTTCCCTTGAAGACGATCTCCGTTTTCAACGTCTGCTTAGTTGTCTTTATAGTTTAATAAGCCTAATACTAGATTAAATACAGTAGCCCCCTCTTACCCAGTGTTGCTTTCTGTAGTTTCTGTTGTCCATGGTCAACTTCAGTCCAAAAAATGTTAAATGGAACATTCCAGCAGCAAACAATTCATAAGCTTTAAATTATGCCCCATTCTAAGTAGCAGGATGAAATCTCAAGCTGTCCTTCTCCATCCTTCCAGGGACATGAGTCATCCCTTTGTCCAGTGTATCCATGTTATACATGCCACCTGCACGTTATCACTTAGTAGCCAACTTGGTTATCAGTTAGACACAGCATCACAGTGCTTGTGTTCAAGTAATCCTTATTCTATTTAATAATGGCCCCAAAGTGCAAGAGTAGTAATGTTGGCATATTGTTGTAATTGTTCTATTCTATTATTGGTTGTTATAAATCTGTTACTGTGTCTAATTTATGAATTAAACTTTATCATAGGCATATATGTATAAGAAAAACATGGTATATATAGGATTTGGTACTATCCATGGTTTCAGGCATCCACAGGTGTCTTGGAACATATCTCCTATGGATAAAAGAGGACTACTGTGTGTATATATATATATATATATATATATATATATATATATATATGTGTGTGTGTGTGTGTGTGTGTATATATATGTATATATATGTGTGTGTGTGTGTGTGTGTCAGAAACCCAGCCTTTTGTCCTAGTCACATGTTTGACTGTAATTTGTTCTCTGATAATTTCATCAAAGAGGTCTTAAAAACAACATTCACAGATTTTTGTTGCATATTTAAAACTTTGTGGCCTGCTTATTTAAATGCCAGTTTTGTGGGATATAAAATCTGAGGGTTATACTTATTTATGTAAGCATGTTGTAGCTTGTCTTCACCTGGACCTCTATTTAATGGTAATTATATTTTGGAACAATGCATGATAGGCCAACTGGTCTGCTTCCAATGGAGTTGGAGGGGTGAGACTTTATAAACTTTGTTAAAGAAAATCCCTGAGAAAAGAGATTGCCAGTGATACTTGTCTTGTTCTTTATATATTCATATGTTTTTAACTTTTAATGAATATATATTATTTTAGTAATTAAAAAAACAGAAGAACTTTAATTTTGTTTGAGCAATAAAGCTCTCTTTTAACCAGATATAATAATAAAGTTCTGGTTAATATTGAGATTAGCAAAAAGCCAGAAGATGAATGGGACTTGGGTTCTAAAGTCTCACACAAGTCAGTGTATAATTGAAAGTATAATCACAATACTGAGCTAAAGATAATATACTCAACCGAGATATTGCTGATTTTAAACATAGTAGCTCAGCAGCAGTTTTGAAAGAAAGAGGAGTAGGAGAGACTGAAAGAAAAAAAAAGAGATTAAAAGACATTTAAAAGTAACTGAAAGAAAATATAGGAGTTATATAGGGAAAAGGAGTCCTGAATCATATTTTGTATTTGACTGCTGAGGATCCTGAGCTATTTGGAAACAATATTCAATGAGACAAGATTGCATATGAGGTTAACACCTATTTCTTCTACACTAACCTGCCTTATCCCTGCCCATTATTTAAGTCAGAGTTTCTCAACCTGATGGAGTTCTTTATTCTTGGCACTATTGACATTTTGGGCCAGATAATCCATGTGGGAGTCAGGGGCTGGGGGCTGTCCTGTGCATTGTAAGATGTCTAAACAGTACAAGATGCCAATATATGTCCTCAGTTGTGACCACCAAAAATGTCTCTGGGCACTTCCAAATGTCCTCCAAGGGGTGAAATTGCTCTCAGTCCTTATTCCAATTATGGCCTCCATGAATCAGGCTCAGTTATTACTTACTAGAGTTTGCCAAAAGTTCCCCTTTTCTTCATTGATATTAGTTTCTAATTTCAGATAATATTCTTAAGTAAGCAATTAGTTATCACACTATTTTTATGCCTTTTTCCTTTGTATTACTAGCTTCAGTATTTTCAGTGAATATCTTTCTATATAGTACAGTGTGCTGGTGTTTGAAGAGCATATCAAATCAGTGGTCCCTTTCCCAAGAGCATCAGCCCTAGTTTGATGAAAGATAAGTGACAAAATGAATAGAAGTCTGGCTAGACCAAATATAGAGAAATGACAGTAAGATGATAAAAGATTTAGAAACGTAACTCATCATTTTATCATATTATATATATATATCTTTTGTACTCTATATTTTTTCATGCTGTGTTACAAAATGTTAGAGAAGTCTACTGCTTTATTCACTTCCAGGTGATGAGAAGTCAAGTCAAAAATCAGGACTTATAACGTCAATCTGTGCCTTTGGGTTCCTAGAAGAGAAGCAACATAGCATTGAAGATCGAAGAAGGTCACCATAAGGAAAAATTCCCAAAGCAAAAAACAAGCTTTGTGTACCACCATTCCATCCTGTGCATCTGAGATACACTGGGTCTGGCACAAATTACCTCCTCAATTAATAAATAATATCTCTGTAAATAAATAGTAACTCTAGGAATAGTTATACCATTTGTTTCTATATATTCATTCCCAATGTTGACAAGGATCTAATTCACTTAAAATTTAGTCCATATTACATTATCAAATTTAAAAAAGAAGACTAAAGATTAATATACCCAATGCATTCTTGCCCTTCAATGAAAAGATTCCCTAGTTTTGAAATTAAAAACTAATAAATTTAAGTAAAAAACATAACCTATAAAATCAAATGTTCTAATCTACCTCTTACATTCTGAAGCTTGGAGAGTGAGTTTTTAGTGCTTGAGAATAGGAAATCAGTCCCTAATAATTCTCTAAGGGATCATGGGAACCAATACGTCTAGGTCTGTCAATGGGAAAGAACTCTGAATTAAGCACTAACGAAAACAGCACTCTACCAATTTAAGTTTAACATGAGAGGCAGAATTAGCAATTATGGAAAACATACAAAAGTGGCAAAGGAGATGATAGTTTAGAAAAAAATTACACGGCTAGATGTCTACCAATCCCAGTCAACCTAGAAGCTTTCTCCCCAAGGCTGCTTTCACTCTGAAGGATGTAAGTAGGGACTGGCTACAAAAATTGCTAGTTGCCTGGAGGCTTCATCTGGAATGACATGAATCTCATGTATCAGCCAAATTATACTCTGCTTTGAATTCATAAAAATTGTTTTCATAATGTGATAAAATTTTGAGTTCTGTCTCCAAACTGTTGAATAGACACCACCTGAAATATAAACTGAAATACCTTTATAAGGTATTTCAGTTTATAAGTTGATGGAAAATCCTCATTTTCCATCAACTCTGGAAATAAGAGGAGATAAAGGACAAATAATCTGTTTTTCCAGACCCAGCAAGATGTTGACCAGATACCATTCCACTGAGCCAACACTGAAACATGACAAAAATATTTATTTGCTAACTTGAAGCTAGCTGCATCCATATGCTTGCCATTTACTTCATATTTGTAATGGACACGTCTCCATGTCTTATTTATTTTTCTCAACATGTTCCCGTCAAAGCCAGAGCCTCTGCAGAGTACTCAATAAACAATTAGTTAAAATGTACTTTAGCAGATTATTATATCTCAAATTCTAATAATGATCTGTTGGGAATTTCAGGGTAGGTGTGAGTAAATTTATTTTCATCTTAATGCCTCTATTTTTTCAATATAAAGAGGAATGAATAGAGAAAAATTATAGTAAAATTTTAATAACACAAATGAAAGGAGGAAGTCAATGCAGCATTATTACTGCAAATACTTCCTGCTTTAGGACAATGATCCTCAGGGGAACTATAAAATGTATAATTTATCTTTCACTTCTCTTTACACAAAATATATTTGGTGACCAACTTCCTCATGGCTGCCTTTACTTCCTTGTTTCTCAATGTGTAAATAATGGGATTACGTAAAGGGAATATTAAAGTATTGAACACAGACACCACTTTATCTAGGGAAAACGAGTCAAATGGGCGAGCATAAATGTAGATGGATGGCCCAAACATTAGCACCACAATGGTAATGTGGGAATAGCAGGTGGACATGGCCCTGTTGGTATTCTCACCTGAGCCTGAAAGTTTCTTGAGCAAGGCCAGAAGGAAGGCATAGGACATTAACAGAGCAATCAAACACACCACAGAGATCAGACCACTACTACAGATCATCACTAACTCCTCTGGGAAGGTGTTGGCACAGGCAATCCGGACAACCTGTGTGATGTCACAGAAGTAACTGTCTAACTCATTGGGCCCACAGAAAGGAAGTCGAACAATGAGAGCCACCTGTATGATAGAATGAATGAAGCCCCCCCTCCAGGAGAGAGCCACCAGGATACAGCAGAGACGTTGATTCATGATGGTAGCATAGTGGAGGGGTCGGCAGATAGCAGTGTAGAGGTCAAAGGCCATCACTGTGAGCAAGAACATCTCCGAAGCCCCAGCAAAGTGTAAGAAGAAGAGCTGTGCAATGCATCCATCAAAAGAAATTATCTTCCTCTCCACAAAGAAGTCTATGAGCATTTCAGGGGCTGTAATGGAAGAGTACCAAATATCAAGGAAGGCCAGATTAGCCAACAGGAAATACATAGGAGAGGTCAGATGAGGGTCTAGACTGATGGTGCAAATGATAAGGATATTTCCTGGTAGGATGAACAAATAGAAGGATAGAAATATAACAAATAGGACTAGTTGGACCTCTGGAGTCTGGGATAGGCCAGTGAGAACAAATTCTGTCACCTTGGTGTAATTTGCAGTTTCCATTTCTTCAATTTACTCTTTTCATAATATAGCTATGAAAATTAAGAAACTATAATTAGTAGACATAGCATTTACCTAGAGTTATATCACTGCTTTCAAAATTGTCATACGTTCCCTGTCACTAACAGATTACACGAGGATACATTTGGTTGCCCATTTTATATCTGATAAACCAAGAGGGAGAGAGTATGTGATGAAGTTATAAATTGGAAACATTAAAACTATATGAAGTGTGGCATATATTTGAAACTCAAATCTCAGCTTGTTAATGTTAAAAACTTACTTTTTCTGAAATTTGGCAATGCACTACTTCTTCCCCCAAACATCTACATTAGTAAGCAATATGTGAAGCTACTTCTGAGTGTAGCCAAATTTTAGACTGGCAATCAGAGATGTGGCCTCTTTTTTCTATATCTTTTTTTTTGTTGGGAAATCTTGCCAACCTGGAAACTTAGGCTTGCATTCTAATAGCACACACACAGATCTAGCAGTACTTTAGTTGTGATACAGAAAAGAGATCCCAAGGCTTCATAAGTAGTGAAGGGACATATTTTTCCATAACTGTAACCAAAACCTGTACAGCTTAATCCTTGGTAACAGGTAACCAGCCACAACATACAGCTATGCAAGGCCCTATATAAAAAATTCTTCTAGCTGTGACCAGATTCATCAATACCTGATACTACATTGAGTATAAAATTTGCTCACCACAGCAGGAACGTAAGTAGGTGTACTGATCTGAGAAATGAGTATGCTTGCTACCCAATTTGATTCTGAGCTGATCTGCTCTGCTGTTTCAAGGTGACAATGGGAATAATATTATTTTTAAAATTTTGCTTACTGCCCTGTATTGAATCTGACACCACTAAGTAGCACAAAACTTGTCAAATAAAAATGAAATAACAGTTCACATTACCAAATATGCTTTTCTTTAAGTAAGGTTAAAAACTGCCACACCAAAGTAAGTTTTGTTGTAACCAACAGCAAATACAAGAGAGTTGTTTCTTTTCTGTTGATGTGATATTTTATGATATTGCCTCTCCTATTACTTAAAAAAATTAAATATGAAAAGGAATTTTTAAAAAGTTAAGGTTCTGTAAAACCAAATAGATGTGGCTGTGTCCAAACACTTATGGGCACTACGTATACTACTGAGAAAAGAAATTAAATGCGCCATTTTTGGAACCTACTGACTCAATTTATACATAATTTTAACAAACATAGATAAATGACTTTCAATATCTTATAGAAGCATTGTATTTTGAAAAAGGGATGGCTTACTACAAGCAGACACACACACATAAAACCAGTGTTTTCCAGGAATCTGGTAGCAAGCGGAAGAAAGGTAAAAATACTCAGAAATTGAATAGTGTGGGACTATTTAGAAAAGGGATCAATTTCCCCTTGTCCATAAATTGCCCAGTGTGGACCTCAGTGAGTTAATGAAGCATATTTAATAAGATTGAAAAATTTAAAATTTGGTTTAGGAAGATTTTAATCAAAAGAAAGATAATAAGGTTATCCAGAATGAAATATTTCCTAACATTCCAAGAAACAATGATCTTATTGTACTTACCTGGAGGAGGCAGCTCATAGCCCTCATAACTAATAACACAACATTGTGTTATTAGTTATGAGGGCTATGAGCTAGTTATATACTAACTCATTTACATTCACTGATAAGTCAACTATGAGGTTCCAACAATCAAATAAATTTCTAACAAAAGCATCTGAAATATTATGATTACTCAGCTCATTTACATATTTTGCTATTATGCTATGTAGTTTTTGACCAGATGGAGGCGATTATTTGTTCCTAAGTAAATAATTGTCCCTTTATTATTGAAAGGAGATGAATATTTTAAAGCAGTAAATACCATTACAAGATCATATGCTTTTTTATTATTATGGGGACATGATGCAATGATTCTGAGTGTCGTCACACAAATCACCCCTTCTTCCTCTGCTTTACTCCATACCCATTCCACCAAAACAGAAGTAGAAAATGGCACTAATCTAGAAAGAATTTGGGTGAATGAGTGTTGATGTCTTGAAAAGACAGACATACATCAGGTATTATGGAATAGAAAGGGTGATTTTACCAGAAAAAAGTGTCAAAGAGATTTTCTTTTGTACCTCAGTGTTCAACATATGACATAAAATTAGAAACTAATGATGTATATACTTTGCATTAAGAACCAAAATCAACCACATTTATTCCTTAGGACAAAAATACAAAGGATTCATCCCTCCACACTCCTTGATGAGTGTCTCTGTCCTCCACCCTTCACAAGTGTCAAGTGGAAAAGAAATATTTTGCTGGAGCATCTCAATCCAATAGTCAGGCAGCCAATCAAACCCCCTACTCCCAAAGCTAGTAATGCTCAGCCACTACTCATCACACACACAAACACACACACACACACACACACACACACACACACACACACACACCACTACACCATGTCACTTCAAGGAAGAACAAGCACCTAGTTTCCCTACATTAACATAACCATTACCTAAAATACCATAAATGACGCAACAATTCTTATTCTGTCCAGCACTTGTCATTTAACACATGTCAAAACAAAGCTATCTACATGTGATATTAAAAAGTCTATTCCTAAATATATAGCTTCTGTGTCACTTCTGTAAACTATTCATTTGTTTATCCCGCAAACATTTAGAGAGTATCTACCATATGCTACCTGCTGAGACACAACAATGAACAAGGAACACTCAATATCTGCCTCATCAAACTTCCATTCTGAAAATATAGACAGACAATAAACAAGTAAACAAATAAAAATAAAATAAAATATAAATAAGTAAAATAAAATAATTGCTACTAGTGCTAAAAGACAAGCAGGAAATAAAAAGGCAATGGTAGAGTAAATAATGATGGGAGTGGTATGTGTGTGATGGAGTATTTTAGAAAAGGTTCTGAGTTGGTGACGTTTTTCTAACTTTGAAAGTTTGAAGAAAAGCATTTTAGGAATAGAGAATAGTAAATGAAAAGGCCTTGTGTCACGAAAGACTTTCTAAGAACTGTAGAAGACCCACAACTGGTAGAAGCATAAGAACAAAATAAAGAGTTAGTCAAAGACCAAGTAATGTAGCCCACAATAATAAAATTGGATTTCCAATTTTCTTTCAATATGTTTTACAATAAAACTCGGTAGAATAGCTTAATACAATTTGCAATTTAGAAATATCACCCTGGCTGCTATGTGAATAAATCAGAGTAAGACAACATTACAAGAATATATATATATATATATATATATATATATATATATATATATATATATGGCTTAAACTAACAATACAGCAATAACTATTTGAAGAGAATAATAATTTGTTTAGAAAATATTTAGGAGATGCAACTCCAGGGTTTATCAATGGATCATATGTTGCTATTGTCATAGTACCAAAGGCAGCTGGAATTTGAACTCCACAATGGCAATTTAAAAATATTGTTTTCCTATCTTCTGTGTCTAAAATGAGGTTCATCCAGCCCATACCACGTCCTTAATAAAATTGGGCTAAATAAACTATACATACTTGGGTATGCACTGTAACACCCCAAGAAAAGCTGGGAATTGTACCAAAAAAACCCAAAGCAAGCAATTATGTTTATGGGAAATTCTTGGGGGAGATAAGCCACTCATGAAGATTGACTTAGGGCATTTTTTTCTAAGGTTGCCATTGAGGAGGGGATGACTATTCCAAATCAGTCCTTACTCTTAGAGCAGTGGTTGGATAAGTTCCTTAAGAAGATTTACTTCATCTTACATCCACCCACCTACTCCTCCTAAGCTTCTGCTCCTCTTTTAACAACATCTAGAAAATTCCCATTCTTAATCTACAGGGATGTAGTACCTAGAGGATGACTATGGAAATACCTAGGAGTACAGGTGCATTCCCTGTCGGTGAGTGAACTGTGAAATCTTCTCAAGAGAAGCAATGCTTTGGGAGAAAACAAGAATCTGCGTGATGTTGAGGTCGTGAGATCTTCCTCTATGACAGTTTCTTCATAGCAAAAGGAGGGATTTTAACTAGAATTTTAAGAAATGTTCTACCTCTAAAATCCTATGATTCCGTTAAAGTAAAAGTAGGTTGAGAGTAAAATTCTCAGAAAGGTAAATTAAGAATGATTTGGGTAGCAATAGGGAGAAACAGTGATATCATCACCATTGTGGATATATACAACACTTAGAAAGAATGAAAATTAATTTTCCTATTTTTAGGATATGGAGCTCACTTATTCTGTGGGATGGTGAGGAAGGAGTATACAGAAGCATCTTCACCATATAGATGGGTATAGGTAGCCAAGGGACCTCGAGTGTCATAAATAAACCAGTAGCAGAAAATATCAAGATGTAGTTATTACATTGATTTTCTGTATGCATTGTTGCCCACAGTAAACTAGGCAAGAAGAAACCATTAGGATAAGAGAAGGGCTGATCTCAATGAGACTATTTTGAAGATCATTTGCTGCTTATTTCTCTTTTAATATACTTTAATATATTATTATATTTAATAATACACTTTAATGTTATTAAATTATATTAAAATATATAGTATATACATTAACATTAAAGTATATTAAAATACTTATTTTATATACAACTATTAATATATTCTTTTAATTTACTTGAATATATTAAAGTATATTAAAATATATTTTATATATAATATAAATTATATATAAATATGTATATATCATATATTTACATATATTACATATTTATATATTATATATATTTGCAGCTTATTTCTCTTTTAATATACTTAGATATGGGGTGTCAGTGCTATCAACTGAAGAATGATGGGGTTCATAAATTTGGAAAGGAGGACCTTTATTTCTCATAGAGTTGTAGCCTGAAGGGTGGCTATTATGACAGGCTGGGAAATATAGCCTCTGGCCAGGAGCCAGAAACAAATATTTCGAGACAGTGACAAAAGGAATATGTACTGAGTGAGGTGGCCAAATACATATGCTCAATAAGCTATAGGAGGAATCTTGAATATTTATGAAAGGACAACCATGCACATGCACAATTGTGCTTCATGCCCCTTCATGAGTAGCATATAGTTGGTCTCTTATCAGGAAGGAATGCTGGTTAATTGCCATGTTAAAACCACAAAAAAAGAGGAACTGCTTCAGTGATTTGTTGATATCAGCAGTGGAGTCTTTCAAAAGAGCTGGTTTCTATTTAGCACTTAGGTAGGAAAGTCTAATGGTAGTTAAGTGAGGGCGGGGATGTAAGAAGGCACCTCTGACCGCCCATCTTGTCATGGATGAAAACTCAGCTTTTAAGGTTACTCTGGGGTGCCCTTGGCCAAGAGAGGGTCCATTCAGTAGCTTGGGGAGCTAAGGGTTTCATTTTTATTTTATTTCTCAGTGCCTTCATTCTAACCACAGCTAAGCACTTACTAGCTGTGTAATCCTGGGCAACTCACTTACCTCTGCCTCAGTGTGCCTCATTAGTGCAATGGAAATAATAACAGTACCTACTTCACAGGTATTGTAGTGATTAATGCATATAATGCTCCCCACATTTTTCCCAGACCCACAGTCCTGTTACATTGTTGATGTATCACTATTTTTAAATCCTTCAGCTATTCTCAGAAGCTTGTTTTCTAAAATGCCTGAAATTTTGTATGAATTTTGTATATATAAGTTCCATAAAAATGTCATATTTTTATGGCTCCCATAATAGTACTGTTTACACCCCCAGTACAAATTTTAACTCATTACATTGTAATTTTTCAGTTTGTATTTTGCAAAATATAACAGGAACTCTGAGCTCCTTGAGGTCATGGAGTATGTCTCATTTATATATCTACTGCCTAAAGTAGTTCCTAGCATGTTATGGTCTTCAATATGTGTTTGTTAAATGGATGGATGGATGGGATGATTACATGGATTTTTTATTGAATAAATAGATCAGTAGACTTTGACAAAAATTAAACACCACAACATCTAATTGTTTTTATTAATTCATTTCTTCTTTCCCTACTCTGCTACATAATTCCTAATTTTGCTTTTTGGAATCCTTTTTGTTAAAATACATATTTCACCCACATTTATTTCAAGTAAGAGTCTCTTTGCTTTTAAGTTTCTTTTTTGCTTTTCTATTTATTTTCAAAGTTTTTGCTACTACTAACACTAATCCCTTTGAAATGAAATATTTCAAGCCTCACCTTTCCCTTCCTCTTCACAGAGATCATCCTGAAGAACTATAAGAAGTAACTACCATGCCTATTCCAAAATTGACCACATAGTTGGAAGTAAAGCTCTCCTCAGCAAATGTAAAAGAACAGAAATTATAACAAACTATCTCTCAGACCACAGTGCAATCAAACTAGAACTCAGGATTAAGAATCTCACTCAAAGCCACTCAACTACATGGAAACTGAACAACCTGCTCCTGAATGACTACTGGGTACATAACGAAATGAAGGCAGAAATAAAGATGTTCTTTGAAACCAACGAGAACAAAGACACAACATACCAGAATCTCTGGGACGCATTCAAAGCAGTGTGTAGAGGGAAATTTATAGCACTAAATGCCCACAAGAGAAAGCAGGAAAGATCCAAAATTGACACCCTAACATCACAATTAAAAGAACTAGAAAAGCAAGAGCAAACACATTCAAAAGCTAGCAGAAGGCAAGAAATAACTAAAATCAGAGCAGAACTGAAGGAAATAGAGACACAAAAAACCCTTCAAAAAATCAACGAATCCAGGAGCTGGTTTTTTGAAAGGATCAACAAAATTGATAGACCGCTAGCAAGACTAATAAAGAAAAAAAGAGAGAAGAATCAAATAGACACAATAAAAAATGATAAAGGGGATATCACCACCGATCCCACAGACATACAAACTACCATCAGAGAATACTACAAACACCTCTACGCAAATAAACTAGAAAATCTAGAAGAAATGGATAAATTCCTCGACACATACACTCTCCCAAGACTAAACCAGGAAGAAGTTGAATCTCTGAATAGACCAACAACAGGAGCTGAAATTGTGGCAATAATCAATAGCTTACCAACCAAAAAGAGTCCAGGACCAGATGGATTCACAGCCGAATTCTACCAGAGGTACAAGGAAGAACTGGTACCATTCCTTCTGAAACTATTCCAATCAATAGAAAAAGAGGGAATCCTTCCTAACTCATTTTATGAGGCCAGCATCATTCTGATACCAAAGCCGGGCAGAGACACAACCAAAAAAGAGAATTTTAGACCAATATCCTTGATGAACATTGAGGCAAAAATCCTCAATAAAATACTGGCAAACCGAATCCAGCAGCACATCAAAAAGCTTATCCACCATGATCAAGGGGGCTTCATCCCTGGGATGCAAGGCTGGTTCAGTATACGCAAATCAATAAATGTAATCCAGCATATAAACAGAACCAAAGACAAAAACCACATGATTATCTCAATAGATGCAGAAAAAGCCTTTGACAAAATTCAACAACCCTTCATGCTAAAAACTCTCAAGAAATTAGGTATTGATGGGACGTATTTCAAAATAATAAGAGCTATCTATGACAAACCCACAGCCAATATCATACTGAATGGGCAAAAACTGGAAGCATTCCCTTTGAAAACTGGCACAAGACAGGGATGCCCTCTCTCACCACTCCTATTCAACATAGTGTTGGAAGTTCTGGCCAGGGCAATTAGGCAAGAGAAGGAAATAAAGGGTATCCAATTAGGAAAAGAGGAAGTCAAATTGTCCCTGTTTGCAGACGACATGATTGTATATCTAGAAAACCCCATTGTCTCAGCCCAAAATCTCCTTAAGCTGATAAGCAACTTCAGCAAAGTCTCAGGATACAAAATCAATGTACAAAAATCACAAGCATTCTTATACACCAACAACAGACAAACAGAGAGCCAAATCATGAGTGAACTCCCATTCACAATTGCTTCAAAGAGAATAAAATACCTAGGAATCCAACTTACAAGGGATGTGAAGGACCTCTTCAAGGAGAACTACAAACCACTGCTCAAGGAAATAAAAGAGGATACAAACAAATGGAAGAACATTTCATGCTCATGGGTAGGAAGAATCAATATCGTGAAAATGGCCATACTGCCCAAGGTAATTTACAGATTCAATGCCATCCCCATCAAGCTACCAATGACTTTCTTCACAGAATTGGAAAAAACTATAAAGTTCATATGGAACCAAAAAAGAGCCCGCATTGCCAAGTCAATCCTAAGCCAAAAGAACAAAGCTGGAGGCATCACACTACCTGACTTCAAACTATGCTACAAGGCTACAGTAACCAAAACAGCATGGTATTGGTACCAAAACAGAGATATAGATCAATGGAACAGAACAGAGCCCTCAGAAATAATGCCGCGTACCTACAACTATCTGATCTTTGACAAACCTGAGAAAAACAAGCAATGGGGAAAGGATTCCCTATTTAATAAATGGTGCTGGGAAAACTGGCTAGCCATATGTAGGAAGCTGAAACTGGATCCCTTCCTTACACCTTATACAAAAATCAATTCAAGATGGATTAAAGATTTAAACGTTAGACCTAAAACCATAAAAACCCTAGAAGAAAACCTAGGCATTACCATTCAGGACATAGGCATGGGCAAGGACTTCATGTCCAAAACACCAAAAGCAATGGCAACAAAAGCCAAAATTGACAAATGGGATCTAATTAAACTAAAGAGCTTCTGCACAGCAAAAGAAACTACCATCAGAATGAACAGGCAACCTACAAAATGGGAGAAAATTTTTGCAACCTACTCATCTGACAAAGGGCTAATATCCAGAATCTACAATGAACTCAAACAAATTTACAAGAAAAAAACAAACAACCCCATCAAAAAGTGGGCGAAGGACATGAACAGACACTTCTCAAAAGAAGACATTTATGCAGCCAAAAAACACATGAAAAAATGCTCATCATCACTGGCCATCAGAGAAATGCAAATCAAAACCACAATGAGATACCATCTCACACCAGTTAGAATGGCAATCATTAAAAAGTCAGGAAACAACAGGTGCTGGAGAGGATGTGGAGAAATAGGAACACTTTTACACTGTTGGTGGGACTGTAAACTAGTTCATCCATTGTGGAAGTCAGTGTGGCGATTCCTCAGGGATCTAGAACTAGAAATACCATTTGACCCAGCCATCCCATTACTGGGTATATACCCAAATGACTATAAATTATGCTGCTATAAAGACACATGCACACGTATGTTTATTGCGGCATTATTCACAATAGCAAAGACTTGGAACCAACCCAAATGTCCAACAATGATAGACTGGATTAAGAAAATGTGGTACATATACACCATAGAATACTATGCAGCCACAAAAAATGATGAGTTCATATCCTTTGTAGGGACATGGATGAAACTGGAAATCATCATTCTCAGTAAACTATCGCAAGAACAAAAAAGCAAACACCGCATATTCTCACTCATAGGTGGGAATTGAACAATGAGATCACATGGACACAGGAAGGGGAATATCACACTCTGGGGACTGTGGTGGGGTGGGGGGAGGGGGGAGGGATAGCACTGGGAGATATACCTAATGCTAGATGACGAGTTAGTGGGTGCAGGGCACCAGCATGGCACATGTATACATATGTAACTAACCTGCACAATGTGCACATGTACCCTAAAACTTAAAGTATAAAAAAATAAAATAAAATAAAAATAAAAAGAAGTAACTAAAGATCTTGGGGTTTTCCTGTCTTTCTTCCAGGAGTAAAAGGATTCAAAATTTTGGACGTTTATTTTAATAATCTGTCACGCTCTGAAGACCCATAAATCAAAACAGCCTTCTCTGAGCTTGCTTAGAAATGATTCATCCTATGAGTATAAAATGATGAAGCTGTCTCTTCAATGCCCTGCTCAACCCTGACTTTAAAATGCTTTAATTATTGAGACCAAGGCTGAAAAGAAACAATTTGTCCACCCACTCCACAGCTAAAACCTACTCTATACTATCATCACAGTTCCCTAAGACATTTCCTTACATGCTGCTTTCTGTTTCTTACCACTGATCTCTGAGCATTTTACATAGTTATTCCCATCATTATTATCTGTCCTACTGTCTCAAAAATAGGATGGTTTATGTAAATGTTATAACAACATTCCACCTACCAATTACTGTGACAGTCTTGGTGCCTTCAGGAACTATGGGGAGGAGGTAGAAGAAGCCTCTTCCACCACCCGCAGTGGAGGACTTTATCCTGGGTACATGTTGGTATGCATCAGTTTCTGCCCTGATGTAACAGTAAACTAACTAGCAGCATGAGCTGTAACTACAAAAATCAATCCTCTGGAGGCCAGGAGAAGCCAGGTAGGAACATAAGCCCTGAGGGAATAATTTAAAAGTTGATTTGCACTTCATCCAAAGAGCACAGAAACACAACTTTTGAGTTTCACAGAAGAAGTAAGAAAAATGGCGAATTTCCCAGGATTAGGGGTGGAAAATGCTACGATGTACAATATGTGCTCTCTAGAGTATGACGTGCATTTTCAATTCTATTGTCCCAGAGGACACAATAAGTTGTGCTGGAACAACTGGTTAACCAGATTTTTTAAAAGAATTATATTTTATAACTTATACTTAACATAAATTGCAAAGGAGTAATTTTTTTAATTACTAGAAACATAGAGAGACTATTTAAATTATTTTGGAATAAATAAAAACTTTTAAGTATATCCTGCCCCTATGAAGGAAAAACAATAAGAAAAGAGTTATAGCATATTTGATAATGAAATTTAAAATTTATCAATGGCAAACACAAATATAGGGGAAAATGTTAGAAATTAAAACAATTTAAAATTACTAGAAAATAAAGACAAATTTAACAGGCAAATAATGAACAGAAAAAAATAAATTGAAATAACTCCATTATATAAGAAGCACTTAAAAATCAGTCATACTATGGCAAAAATAATAATGATAATAATGCAATTTCAAAGTGGGTGAAAAACTTGAAGACATTTCTCAGAGGAAATACACAAATGGCCAACAGGTATAAGCAAATATGTTCAGCATCACTAGTTGTTAAGGAAATGCATATCCAAACACCAATGAGATATTGCCTCATGCCTATTAGCATGGCTATTATCAAAAAACAAAAGAAGTGTTGGCTAGAATTTAGGGAATTGAAACTCCTATACACTTTTGGTGGAAATAGAAAATGGTGCAGTCACTATGAAAAATAATGTGTCAGTTCCTCAAAACATTAAAAACAAAATTATTATATGATTCAGCAATCCCACTTTTAGGAATATGTCCAAAAGAATTGAAATCAGAACCTCAAAGAGATACCTTCACACCCATGTTTACTACAGCATTATTCACAAAAGCCAAGATATGGAAACAGCCTAAAAGTCCATAGACAGATGAACAAAGAAAATGTGTTAGACATCAGCTAGAATGGCAGAGTAGGTGATCTCAGTCTTTATTCCTCCTAAAGGAACAACAACTGGGTAAATATCCACAAATGAAAATATCTAGCAGAGATCAGGAATCTACTTCAGAAGTTAAAACAACAGAGCAGACAGAAAAACTTCAAGAAAAAACACAAAAAAATGGTAGAAAAAACAGTTTCATTTTGCCTGCGTCATCTTCCTCAGGCTGGCAGTGCTCAGTATGGAGAGGTCACTGCTCAGCTTGCAAGTTCCCCTTGCAGAGAAAAGGAGAGTGGAGTGAACCATCTTACCCAGCCTACTGGAGCATTGCCCAAACAACCAGCTTAAGTTTCACCCATCCCAGATTGCTAGGGAGACCAACATAGGAGAGAAATCTGTAAACTGCTGGTAAGAAAGAGAAATGATGAGGTCTATCAGTATCAGTCCTGTGGTAGGAATCAATGCAGTCCCCAGTAGCCTGATCTGAGCGGAATTCTGGTAGCCTTCTATACCAAGGACCTCAACAGCCCTCATGGATGTGACACAGGATTCTTTGAGGGCCACTTTGCCAAGTGGAAATCTCGATGGCCAGCAGAGCCTCTGCTGAGGCTTCACTCAGGCCCTCTGAGCTCGTCCTGCTCATTTGGCCTGGCAGGCTGTGCTCCACTCATGCTCACTCACCCAGATGCCATGACACCCACCGTAGCTCAGTGCTCAGCCCACGGTTGGTTTGGGCATGCTATGACTGACTTCTGCCTTGAGCGCTGGCATCTGGATAAGGGGGATGCAGCAGTGCCCAAAAACTCAGAGATGCCAGCAACTGTGGAGCCCGAAGAGGTGTTACAGCTTTTGCTCTGGGAGTCAAGGTCTGAGCCCCCAGGAAGTGTTACAGCTCTTGTTCGTTCTCACTGCTGGCAGTTTCAGCAAATGGGGATGTGTCACAGCTCATTCAGTCCTGCTGCCCACAGCTCAGCAATTGGGGACTTGTGGCACCCAGCATTTTTTTTTCACTTCTGTAGCTTGGTGAACAGGAGGTGTATCTTACAGCTCTTTTCGCACCCACTGTTCAGTGGATCCTGGATTCTTGTCCTGCAACCAACAGGAATGAAGCATGCAGACACCGCAGAGTGAGCAAGGCTGATGAGATTTTTATTGAGCAGCAGAAAAGCTCTTGACAACAAGAGAGTAGCCAAAGTGGGCAGCCCTCTGTGTAAGAGTGGGGCTGAAAGCAGAGAGCCATCTGTGAGGCTGAGTCTGGGGTTTTTATGGGCTCAGAATGGAGGAATCTGTGCTGATTGGTTCATGGGCAGGCCTGGAAAAAGCACCATTTAATTGACTAAAAGGCACTGAGGAAGTTCTCAGTTGGGTCGTGGACTCCACCTGGAACTGGCGGCTTGGTTTTCAGGCCTCAGGTTGTCTTTGGCTTGAAGGTTGGGATTCACCAGGGACTTATCCCTGTCTGCCTAGGAATCTGTCTGTCTCCTGTCATTATCAGCTGCACATACCACACTGCTTTTACTACCAAGGAACCCACAATTATCATTGCACAAACTATAGTATTTAACTCCACAGAGGACTCCAGCAGGTTTAGTCACTGACAAAATCAACACCCAAAGATCACAAAGAAGCAGGAAAACATGACACCACCAAAGGAACAAAATTAATTTCTAGTAACCAACCCCAAAGAATTGGAGATCTATAAATTGCCTGGAAAAAATCAAAATAATTGCCTAAGGAATCTTGGGGAACTACAAGAGAACACAAATAAATAGTTTAATGAAATCAGGAAGACAATCCAAGAACAAAATGAGAAGCTCAATAAAGAGACAGAAAATATTTTAAAAAGAACCAAACAGAAATGTTGGAGCTGAAAAATACAACAGCTAAACTAAAAAAATGTAATAGAGGCTTGAACATCAGACTAAGTGAAGCAGAATAAAAAAATAAGTGAACTCAAAGACCGAGCATTTTAAATCATCCAGTAAGTGGAGATAAAAGAAAAAAAAGAATAAAACCTACAGAAGCCATGGAATACTATCAAGAGAGCTAACATTAGAATTATAGTAGGTTCAGAAGAAAAATAGAGAGAGCATTAGATAGAAAGCTTATTTAAGGAAATAATCATAGGAAACTTAGCAAATGTCAGGAAAGAAATGAGCATCCAGATGCATGAAGCCTAAAGTTCTCCAGTCAATTCAACCAAAAAAAGAATCCACAAACATACATTATCATCAACCTGGCAAAAATCAAAAACAAAGAGAGAAGCTTGTAAGCAGCAAGAGAAAAGAATCATGTCATATAAAAAAGGACCCAAATAAAGCTATCAGTGGATTTCTCAGCAGGAACCTTGAGGATCAGGAGAGAATGAAATAATATATTCAAAGCAATGGAAGAAAAATAAAACTGCCAACCAGCAATATTTTGCCAGCAAAGCTGTCCTTCAGAAATGAAGAAGATAAAGACTTTTTTAGAAAAAAAAAAAGAAAAGTTGAGTGAGTCTTCACTATTGCTTGCCTTACAAGAAATGCTAAAGGGGGATTTTTAAGATTAAATAAAAGGCAGCTAATTAGTAACATTAAAACATATAAAAATATAAAACTAACTGGTAAAGTATATATATGGTTAAATTTAGAATATTCAAGCACCATAATGGTGGTGGTGTAAATCACAACATCATTATAAAGTTATAAGATGAATGTATGAAAAATGACTATAGCTATAATAAATTCTTAAGACATATAAAAAATGTAAACTGTAACATCAAAAGCACAATGTAAGAGAAGGGAAGTAAAAGTACAGAGCTTCTTTAGCAATCAAAGTGAAGATGTTATCGTCTTTAAGTGAATTGGTAAAACAATAAGAATATTTATGTAAGCCTCATGGCAACCACAAATTAAAAACCTATAGTAAATACACAAAAGATAAACAGAAAAGAATCAAAGCATACCACCGAGGAAAATGATCAAATCACAAAGGAAAACAACAAAGGAGTAATAAAGGAATAAAGGACCTACAAAGCAACCAGAAAACAATAAATTGACAATAATAAATCTTTACTTACCAACTATAAATAAGCAAATTTTGTCAATCAAAAGACAAAAAGTGGCTGAATTGATTTATAAAAATAAGATCCAACTAAATGCTGCCTACAAGAAACTCACTTCACCTTTAATAACACACATAGACTAAAAGTAAAGGGATAAAAAACAAAAATATTCCATGAAAATGAAAACCAAAAAAGAGCAGTAGCAGTTACATGTGTATCACACAAAATAGACTTTAAATACTGTCACAAGAGACAAAGAAGGTCATTAGATATTGGTAAGAAAGTCAATTCATCAAGATAATAGAACAGTTATAAATATGAATACACCCAACATCAGAGCACCTAAATATATAAAGCAAATATTAACAAATCTAAAGCAAGAGATAGACTGCAATGCAATATTAATAGAGAACTTTAATATCTGATTTTCAACAATGGATAAATCATCCAGAAAGAATATTATTAAGAAAACATTGTCTTGAACTACTTCAGACTAAATGAATCTAATAGACATACACGGAATATTTGATCCAACAGCAGAACACACATTCTTCTCAAGCTTACACAGAATATTCTCCTGGACAGATTGTATGTTAAGCCACAAACAAGTCTTAACAAATTTCAGAAGACTGAAATCATATCAAATATATTTTCTGACCATAGTGGTATGAAACTAAAATCAATAATAACAGGAAAACTGGAAAATTCATGTACATATGGAAATTAAACAACCACCAATGGGCCAAAAAAAGAAGTCAAAAGGTAAATGTAAAAATATCTTGAGACACATGAAAATGGACATGACATACAAAAAGGTATGGGATGCAGCAAAAGTAGTTTTAAGGGAGAAATGTATAGTAATAAATGTTTACAAAAAAAAGACGAAAGGTCTCAAATTAACAACCTAACATTACAGCTCAATGAACTAAAAAAAGAACAAACTAAGCCTAAAGTTAGAAAAAAAGGACATAACAAAGATTAGAAAAGAAATCAATGAAAGTGAGACTAGAGAAACAGTAGAAAAGATCATGAAACTAAGATTGATTTTTGGAAATATAAGTAAAATCAACAATACTTGATCTACACTGAGAAAAAATAGACTTAAATAAATAAAAGCCAAAATGAAAAAGGAAACATTACAACTGATGCTACAAAAAATATAAAGAATCATAAGATAATACTATGAACCATTACAAGTCAAAAGATTGGATAGCCTAGAAGAAATGGATAAATTCCTAGACACATACAGCCTACAAGACTGAATCATGAAGAGCTAGAAAATCTTAACAGTAATGAGTAAGGAGATTGAATCAATAATAAAATCTCCTATCAAAGAAAATCCTAGGACCTGATGGCTTCATAGTTGAATTCTACCAAATATTTTGAAAAGAACTAATACCTATCCTTCTAAAATCCTTCCAAAAAGTTGAAGAGGAGGGGATATTTTAAAACTCATTTTACAATGCCAACGCTGCCTTCATACCAAACCCAGATAAGGACACCAACAAGAAATATAGATTATAGGCCAATGTCCCTTGTGAACAAAGGTCCAACAATCCTCAACAAACTACTGGCAAACCAAATATACCAGGACATTAAAAAGATTTTGCATCACGACAAAGTAGGATTTATTCCTGGGATGTAAGAATTATCCAACATACACAATCAACAAATGTGCTACACCACATTAACAGAATAAGAAATAAAAACCATGAGATCATCTAAACAAATGCAGAAAAATCATTTGACAAAATTCAACATTCTTTCACAATACAAAATTTTCAACAAATTATAGGAATGTACCTCAACACAATAAAGCCTGTATATCACAAGCCTATGATAAACATTATACTCGATGAGAAATTGAAATGTTTCCCTCTAAGATCAAGAACAAGACCACTCTCCCCACTTCCATTCAACATAGTACTGGACGTCATAACCAAAGTAATTAGGAAAAAGAAATAAAGTGCATCCAAATAAAAAAGTTAGTGTCTCTGTTAGAAGATGGCATGATCCTATGTAGAAAGAATCCTGAAGACTCCACTAAAAAACTGTTAGAACTAATAAGCAAATTCAGTAATTTTGCAGACTACAAAATCAACAGAAAAATTCAGTTGCATTTCTTTACACCAATAATGATCTATAGAAAGAAAAAGTCAAGAAAAAGTTATCATTATGAGCACATCAAAAAGAATAAAATACTTACAAATAAATTTAACTAAAGAGGTAGAATATCTGTACACTGAAAAGTATAAAAGATTAATGAAATAAATTGTGGAAGACAAAAATAAGTGAAACATATCCCATATTCATGAACTGGAAGAATTAATATTGTTAAAAAGTCCATACTACTGAAAATGATCTGTACATTCAACGCAATCCCGATCAAAATGGCAATGAACATTTTTCACAGCAATGGAAAAAATAATTCTGAAATTCATATGCAACCATAAAAGAGCATGAAAAGCTTAAGCAATCTTGAGTATAAGTTCAAAGCTAGAGGTATTAAACTTCCTGATTTCAACTCCATTACAAAACTGTAATAATCAAAACAGATGTTGCTGGCATAAAAACATGTATACCAATAAAACAGAATAGAAAGCTCAGAACTAAACTCACATACCTACAGTCAGCTAATTTTTTCAACTAAGGTACCAAGAATATACAATGTAAAGGACAGACTCGTCTATAAATGATGTTGGGAAATTGGATATCCACATGCAAAGAATCCGTGCTTCTCTTATTCCAATCACAAAAGTTAATTCAAAGTGGATTATAGACTTAACATAAGACCCGGCCCCATAAACTCCTAGGAGGAAACATGGGGAAAAGTTCCTGGACATTGGTCTCATCTTTATTTGTTTGATGAAAGAGAAATCTACAGAAAGGGAGAAAATATTTGTATACCACACATCCAATAAGGAGTTAATATCCAAAATATATACAGAACTTATACTACCAAATAGCAAACAAACAAGCTTCTAAATGGGCAAAAGATATTTTTAAAATGATTTCATAAAATGGGCAAAGGATCTGAATAGATATTTTTCCAAAGAAGATACACAAATGGCCAACAGGTATATGGAAAAAATGCTCAAAATCAGAAATCATCAAGGCAAATCAAAACCTCACTGAGATATCACCAACCACCTGTTAGATTGCCTTTTATCAAAAAGTCCAGTGATAGCATGTGTTGGCAAGGATGTAAAGGAAACCTGATATGGTTTGGCTGTGTCCCCACCCAAATCCCATCTTGAATTATAGTTCCCGTAGTCCTCACATGTCATGGGAGAGACCCAGTGAAAGGTAATTGAATCATGGGGGCAGTTTTCTCATGCTATTCTTGTGATAGTGAGTAAGTTCTTACAAGATCTGATGACTTTACCTGGGGCTTTATCCTTTACTCAGTTCTCAGTCTTCTCTCTCTTGCCACCATGTGAAGAAAGACATGTTTGCTTCCTCTTCCACCATGACTGTGACTATAAGTTTCCTGAGGCCTTCCCAGCCATGCTGAAATGTGGGTCAGTTAAACCTCTTTCCTATATAAATTACCTAGTCTCAGATATGTCTTTATTAGCAGTGTGA
The DNA here is from genome assembly GCF_000001405.40 of Homo sapiens. Lineage (NCBI taxonomy): Eukaryota > Metazoa > Chordata > Mammalia > Primates > Hominidae > Homo > Homo sapiens. The sequence goes on along the minus strand of NT_187382.1, from coordinate 354,360 downwards.
GAACGGACTAATACAAAACCCTTGTAAACTTTTGGTAGAGATATAAATTAGTGCAACCATTATTGAAGACAGTATGTAGGCTCCTCAAAAAAAAAATAAACTTCTCATATAATAACAGCAATCCCACTTCTAGGTATGTATGCAAAAGAAATAAAACCACTATCTTAAAGAGATATCTGCACTCTCAAATTCACTGCAGCATTGTAACACTAGCCAAGATATAGAAACAAACTAAGTGTTCATCTACAGATGCATAGATTTTTTTAATGTGGTACAAACACACACAATGGATTATTCAGCCTTAAAAAGAAGGAAATCCTGCCATTTGCCACATGGATAAACCTGGAGGACATTATGCTAAGTGCAATAAGCCAGATACATAACGACAAATACTACATGATATCCCATACAGGTGCAATATTTTAAAAAATCAAACTCATAGCAATGGACAGTAGAGTGGTGGTTAGCAGGGGCTGGGAAATGCCAGGAAAAAGATGTTGGTCAAAGGGTACAAACTTTCAGCTACAAGATGAGTAAGTACTGGAGACCAAATGTACAGTAGCTTCAAATTTGCTAAGAAAGTAGATCTCAAGTGTTAACACACACACATACACACATTATACACAAATGGTAATGATGTAACATGATGAATATATTAATTAGCTTGGTTGTGGTAATCATTTCGTAAGTATGCATATACCCTAAATATATGCAAATTTTATTTGTAAATCATACCTCAATAAAGCCTGAGAAAATTGTAGTATATATATGCAATGGAGTATTATTCAGCCTTTAAAAAGCAACTTACAGAAGGACAAATACTGCATGATCTCACTTATGTGTGGAATCTAAAATACTCAAACTGAAGGTAGGATGGCGGTTGCCAAGAGTGGAAAGGAAAGGGAGAAATGAGGAGATAATGGACTAAAGGTTACAAAGTTTCAGTTATGCAAAAATGAGTGAGTTCTGGAGAGTTAATGCACAACATGGTGTCTGTATTACAATGCAATACTGTATTGGACAACTGAAATGTACTAAGGGAGTAGATCTTAAGGGTTCACACCACACACAGAAAAACATAACCCTGTGAGGTAATGGATATGTTAATTATCTTAAGTGTGATGATCATTTCACAGTGTACACGTAGTTCAAAACATCAAGTTGCACATTTAAATATGTATGATTCTTATTTGTCAAATATACTTCAATAAAACTGGAAAAGGGGAATGAAGGAGAATAAGCTAGACCATGTGGCCACATGCTGGTTGACCTCCCACTGAAGGTCATTCCTCCTTTCAAATGGCTATCATAAATATCTCTTTTTGGGGTTTCTGTATTTCCTCCCTCTCTCAGTCCCTTCAGGCACAATGGTGTAAACAGCTCCACCCCATCTTACCCCTGGCCTGTGTGGTACTCTATACCTATAAATTCATAGACAGCATCTCGTTAAATAAATGTTTATCAAATTATCCTATATTAAGTGTGTCATTAACTTCCTGTTGGAACTCTAAATGATATAATTTTCTATAAATGTATCCTTCCTTGAGTGTATCAACTTGTTTCATCTTATTGACTGTACCTTTACAACTAAGATGCTTCAATATATTAGATAATATAAATTTTCACCCTCTCCTTTCTGTTTTATGAACCTGGAGGGCTTCCATCTTCTGCTTTCATCCATTTCTGTTGTCTCCTATGCCTACTGTACATCTGTCATCTTAAAAGTGCCTTTTGATCCCTTCGTAGTTCATAAGCGTGATGACTGAGTTTTTGCACTCCTGTGTGAAATGTACCTCCCTCAAACCTTATGACATATATACATTACCTGACTCACATGAAGAAAGAAAAAAGAGATTGGGATTTTTTTTAAAGTGGCTTTAGCCACCCTGCATTGCATATATTAGTTTATTGATCTCATTTCTTCCTCTTGTTTTGCTGGGATATATTATCCCACACTTTCAAAAAAAGAGAGTACTTATGAAGTAAACTTTATAAATTTTTGTATGATTAAATATGCTTTATTCTATCTTCCTGATAGATTTGTTCTGTATAGAATTCTAGCCTGAAAATCAGTGTGAGAAACTTTTCCACTGTATTCTAAGGATGAGCTTGCTACAGAGCATACTCATGCCATTTGAATTTCTGTTCATTCGTGAGCTATATGGTTTTTTCTTAATAATTTTACAATATTTTCAATCGTTAAGGTGATAAAATTTCATAATAACGTGCCTTGGGATTTTTTTTAAATCTTGTGGTGGGCATTCAGTAAATCTTTCATATCGAGAAAATTAAGCTTTTCTGTTCTAAGAAATTTATTTTCATTGTTTCTTTTAAATCCATCCTTCTGTTTAATTTGTCCTCCTGGAATATGTGTGAGTTGAATGGTTTGCCCCTAACTTGATTCCTTGTGTTTCTTGTTTTTATCTTTCATGTTTTCTATTTCTTTGACATTTTCATTCTACTTTCATAGAGACTGTACTTTTATGACTTCTTTGACTACTTGTTTTATTTCTTTTAATGCCATATTAATTTTGTTTATTGTTCTTTTTGATTTTACCTTCCAAAAATAATTTTTCTATATTTTTTCAGTACATCATATTCTTATTTCAAGATTACAAATATTTTCTTTCATTGATGAGAAGATACAGTTTTTTACAGTCCCCCCCCCCCCCCCCACGAATTACCTCTAATTCCACCAGTTTCCTTTTGGCTTTTTTAAAGACTTACTTTTTTCTTTTTTTCAAAAGCCTTATGTAAATTTTAGATTGATCTCTTAAGCCAGCTTACTAACTGGCAGACTTCTGGTCAGGGTTCCAGTAGAAAGGTAGCCATTTCATTTGTAATCTCCAAAGGCAGATGTGACATTAACATTCAGTTTCTTAAACAAAGGTGCCAATGTTCTGTCTGTGACTCAGATGCTACCGTTAGCATCTGGGAGCAGAAAGAGAGGATAGAAGATTGAACTGTTCCTTTCTCTTAATCTTCATTAGCAGCCCTGAACCTCACCTCCCGCTGACCTGGCATCCTGCATCCCAATCATCGTAGGGATTCCAGGAAATGAATCTCTCCCCTTTTCCTCACTATTCCTCTTGTTGGGAGTTTAGACTTAGCCTTCCCGACCCTGCCAAATCAGTTACTACTTTTTTGTCTTACCTCTTCCAAACTTTTGTTGAAATCTCTTCTCTGCATCTAACTCCTGTCCTGTTTCTTTGTTCCTGTGGGTCTCAGCCATTTTTTTCTTACTGCAAGTGTTGTTATTTTTATTATTAATACTTTGCTCTTAGGAGGGAAAAGGAAACCTAATGTATTCTATCATTTTTAATATAATTTGTGGGTTTGTTGTCTATCTTAAAAAATCAGGAGTTTAAAAAAAGGATAGAATGACCCTTTTGCAAAGGGAAAGTAATATGAAAATAACTATAAGGACATGCAATAACTATAAAGAAATTTTAATAATCAAAATGTTAATGGTGATCATGTATGAGAGGGCTGGAGTAGACAAACCATTTTAAAGACTTTTCAAAAGTCCCACCAACCAACTACTATTAACATCAGATTGTCCACTGGGCTTCAAAAGGAATATCTTTTTCTTATAAGGTCATTCTAAATTATTGAATTGAATTTTAAAAGAGCCTGAGGCAAGTCAATGCAATATTTTAGTTGGGCCACCATGAATAATGTCAGGTCCCCATTACTAAGGAAAAAAATAGAAATTGGAGTTACAATCAACAGATTTTGACAAGTACCTACTGTGCAAGCCCCTCTAGTCCATACATGAAGAGTAGAAAAGAATATACATCATTTGTATTCTTCATAAGTTGTAGATCTCAGATAAAAATCCACTAAAAAAGAGAAAAAGGTAAGTGATATTTTATAAATTGCATACAGGATTGCTTAAGGCATATAGAAAATAAATGTTGAACAAAAATAATCAGGGCAGAATTCTTGAACAACATCAGTCATGAGACAAGATCTAAGAAAATTTCTTAGAAGAAAAATGCCTTTTCCAGAATACTGAGAATACTTAACTATTTTTCAACTTTACTAAGAATACCACAAGAAGAAAATGTGCTTATTCCATTTTGTTGTTTTAAGGAACTGAAGACAAGTTCAACTAAAAATTTATAATAGAATTACATCTCCTTAGTCATTTCAATGGTACAAATACCAACTCATTTTAGTTGCTTTAATCTAGTCTGTTTTTATTGGCAAAAAAGTAAGATTTCTTTCAGTAAAGATAGTATTATAGTAATGGGTAGAAGAGTATTCAAATTCTCCAAGAGGGTCTTTGAAGAAATTGCTGTCCACCTCAAAATATGTAAAGTTCTATTTTTTTTTTTCCTGCACAGAAACCATCCTTTGGGCAATTTGTTGATTTATACTAACCCTCTTCATTATAGGAAGTATGTATTTCTATGTCTGCATTTGTTGTATTGTATTGTAATTATCTCCTTGCAAATCTGTTTCCCTGACTAGATTTTGCAATATGTATAAGAAAAGACTAGAGAAGGACGAAAAAGAAAACAAAAGAAGGAGGGAAAAGGTGCAGCTTCTGGTAAATTAGACCTCTTTTTTGAAGAGACATGATATGGTGAGAAGATATGATCAGGGATATCTTTCTCTTATAACCCCACTCTAAATTACTGAATGGTAGCTTAAGAGAGTTTGATGTGAATAGAAGGGATTTAACGAGGTTAAATGAGATATTGAGTAGGAGTGTTAACTCTTGTACTCTAGAAGAGAGAATAAACCTTGCCAAGTATGGAAAGGTTTAAGTTTAGCCCGTCTAAAATAGCCTCAAATTATTTCCTGTTAGACAAAATATAAAAGCTGCATTTTAGGAACTGTTTTTTTAATTATTAGTAAATTAGGGATCATTGAAGGTATCCACTAATTCAGTGATTTTGCAATTCTGACAAACTATCCTCTCTGCTTTTCCTTCAAGGAGATCTTGCTACTCCATAGCCACCTCATGGCATTCTTTACTCCTCATTCCTCAGAGTATAGATGAGTGGGTTCAGCATTGGGGTGATGGTGGTATAGAACACAGACACAGCTTTATCCAATGGGAAAGTAGTGGATGGAGATAAATAAAGATACACGGAACAAAGAAGAAAGTTACTATAGTCAGATGAGATCCACAGGTAGAGAGAACTTTGTGTCAGCTCTCTGCAGACTGTTTTTGAAGACTAAACAGAATGACTGTGTAGGAGGCCAAAAGAATGAGGAAACACCCCAGGGAGATGAGACCACTGTTGGCAACCACCAACATATTTACCAGAGTTGTATCAGCACAGGCAAGTTTTAGGACTGGGTGGACATCACAAAAGTAATGGTCTATAACCTGAGCATTACAGAAGGGCAGCTGGAAGGTCAGGAGGGTCTGAACAAAGGAATGACCCAGGGCCCCCAACCAGGACAGTGATGCCAGCACAGTATAAGCATTAGCACTCATGATGACAGTGTAACGGAGGGATTGGCAGATAGCAGCATAGCGATCAAAAGCCATGACAGTCAAAACAAAAATCTCAGCACAACCAAAAAAGTGGAAGGTAAACATCTGAGTTATACAGCCCCAGTAGGAAATAGTCTTTTTCTCAGAAACAAAGTCTTCAATCATCTTGGGTGCTGTGGCTGAGGAATAGGCAATGTCCACAAAAGACAGGTTACTGAGGAAGAAATACATGGGTGTGTGTAGTCGGGAGTCAGAAAAGACCATAAGCAAAATGAGCAAATTTCCCACCATGATCACGACGTAGAAGAGGAGAAATAAGACAAAGAACATCAATTGCATTCCAGAATCTTGGGAAAGTCCCAGGAATATAAACTCAGTGACATTGTTGGCCACTTTCATGGGGCCCCAGGCAGGACTCGTGGAGTGACTCTGGTTCTCTGCAAAAATAAACACGTTATAAACCATGGTAAGCATAGTAAAGCCTATCAGTAAGAGTCTTGTGAAAACACCTATATGATGTTAAATATGGTAGAGGAAGTTCTTCATATTTCTTGAACATAGTTCATGAATATTTTTCTTGTCTTTAGCTTGATTTCCACACTATTGACTCACATTTGAATTTCTTTCATAATTAGTCTTATAGTTCCTCTTTTCCATACAAGAACCTAGAGAATCTGAGTCTTTTTTATTGAATTTAATGTTTTTCCCTAATCAGTGCTCTCTCTCCCCCCACCTCCAACTTCTCTTGTCAGAAATTTACTTTGGAGTGAGAACTTTGTTTAAATAAATTAATTAATTTTTTGAGGCTGTAAATAAAAGCATGAAGTCAGAGTATAAGATCTGATGTATAAAATTTCAGAATCCTTCAAATATAATGTATGCTACTCACCTATAGAAAAGTAACATTTTATTTAATCAAGAGAGGAAGACTCAGTTTCCAATTTCTCAATTAGATTAAAAGTCTCAATTCAATTAAAAATTAAGTCATTTTTAGCGCTTATAAATCAACATTGAGGAAATTTGAATCATAAGCCTGGACCTGCAGTTTGAAAATTCCATTTTGCTTGCCAGTAAGGAATACATGAGAAGTGATCAACTTATACAGAGAAATACTTTTTTCTATGTTGCTCTGAAGAGTTGAAACATTTTAAAGTTACTGAGTTCCCTATCATCCTCAATCCCTTTGCAGGTCCCTGTCATCCTCAATCCCTTTGCCTTGAAAAAGACCCAGATAACTCTCTGTCCTTGTGATCACAGGAAAAATTAGGAATGAAATTTATCATACAGATAATGTTATAAATGATAGTTTAAAAATAAGTGTCTGAAGCCATTTTATAAACTGTAATAGGAATCCTTGCATCATACAGAGAAAAATAATGGATAAAAATAATCAGGAAAAAATTCTTAAAGGAGATTAATATTAGACAAGATCTGAAGTTTCTTGAAATAAAAATGGCTTTTCTGAAATATGAAAATTACTAGCTATTTTCCGTCTTTACTCAGAATACCTCTTTTCTGCATGGAGAGCAGAAAGAGCACTGCCCAGAAGCTGAGTGGTGTAAGTTTGAGTGCCCTCATCAGCTTTATAACTTTGGGTAAATCTATTTATCTTCCCTGGATCTCAGTTTTCTCACCTATAGAAGACGAATGATAAAATTTTTTACCTCACAAAGCTGTTTCAGAATTCAAATGAGATCTATAGAACATGTTTTGAATTTATGAGGTGTTTCCTTTTAATTAGAATCTATCAAGTGGAATCTCTCTAGTAAGCATAATTTGTAATTTGGTGTATTTAGTTATTATATAAAAGCTATATAATGTAACTACTAGAAAATATTAAAAACATATACAATTTTATTTCTGAGATAATAGCTATAATATCTGCCAATCTCCATTAAAGAAATATCATTAATAGAAGCTAACATTTACTGAGCATTTTACCATGTGCAGAATCGTGTGCTAAACTCTGCATATGTTATTTAATTCCATCCTCACAAAAATATAATAATTTTTATTATCTCCTTTTTACAGAGTAGCACTAAAGATTAAAGAGGCAAATTGCCCAATATAATTTTCCGTGAAAGGACTGGTATAATTGTGGTATTCTTTCTCCAGAACACACATAACTGACATATCCTTAAATAAATCATAGGTAGATAGAAAGATTAGATAGATAAATTTCTCATAAACAGAACTGAACTTATTCTTTATTTTATTTTTTAATTACTATTATTTTTTGGAGAGGAAGTGTCACTGTGTCACCCAGGCTGGAGTGCAACAGCGTGATCTCGGCCCACTGCAATCTCCGCCTCCTGGGTTCAAGTGATTCTCCTGCCTCAGCCTCCCAAGTAGCTGGGATTACTGTCACCTGCCACCACAAAAAGAATTGAATTTAAACAATTGCTTCCTTATCGTGCAAAGTCCTTCAATTGGAGAATATGTTTCACATTCCTAAAATCTTTAAATAATCGGCGTCCTATACCAGCAAAGTCAAATTGCGCTCAGTCATCACCAGTTGGCAAAATCATAAGGGCTGAAAAAATGTTTAGGTAAACAGAAAACACATTGTACTTACTATATGCCAAGTTTGATTCTAGATGTTTTACATATAGCTCATTTAACTCCCACAATGATCTTATAAAGTAGTCCATCACTACTATTCCCACTTCAGAAATGAGGAAACTGAAGCACAGAAAGAGTAAGTAACTTCCCCAAGGTTATAGATCTAGTGATTGGCAGAGTTGGTATTTGAACCCACGCAATGAGTCTTCAGGATCTATTTTCCTAACTACTATGCATATCCTGGGTCTGATGGCATCAAAGCCACCAAATATGTTTCTCATTTGAAAGCCTTAAACCTTCTACAATAATCAAAAGACTCCTTTTCTTCTAATCATGAAAAGTTTTTTTTAATTATATACACTATTTAGAGACAAAGACTATAGCTGCAACTAGCAAGATCATCACAGCATAGAGTCTGTGCCAACTTTTCTCAAATTAAATTTACAGTGGGGATGTAATAACAAGTGATGTGATACTGATCATTCATTCAGTCATTATTTGATTTGGCAAGTATTCTCAATCAAGTGGAGGAGGTCCACATGTAAACTGTGACAGTTCTCTGTGAAGGGGCTCAGGAAGGAAGCCCAGGAGAGACAGGACTGCCTTTTCAAACGTTGTCACTGAGTGGAATTCTGATAGATGAGTTAGAGTTAAACTGATGATGATGAGGATTGCAGGGTGTGGGCACAAAAGAATAGACAGGGCAGGAAGAACTTTCCAGGCCTAGCAAATAGAATATGTGAAGGTAAAAATCATTACACCATCCTCTTTGGGGAGTGCCAGCAAGTTGAGTATGATTCAGCACACAATCCACATAGGAAAGTGTCAGGAGATGAGGCTGACAAGAAGGCAAGTCTAGATTACAGAGTCTTGTGTGTTAAGCTTAAAAGTTAGCAATTGAATTAATTGGGGTGCCATAAAGAAAGATCCAGCCACAGGAGTAGAGTAGCTGCGATGGAAGGTGGGGGAGAGAAGTTGTGAAAAAGATGCCTGGAACCCTAACTGGTCTACTTTCAAATTTCAGCTTCAGCATTTACTAACTTTATGACTTTAGGCAAGTTACTTCACTTCCCTTTGCCTCAGTTTTCTCAAGTGTAAAATGTGGATAAGAATAGTACATTTATATAGAGTGTTATACATATTAAATATATTACATATAAAGCACTTATGTGCATAACATACTTTAAGCAAATATATAATTATCATTATCCATCTTTGCTATCAGAGAAAATGTTGATTGGAAGGAGAGCCAGAAGCCTGGATAGGAGTCATCTTAGAACACTAACCTCCTTACTATGTTAATCTCCTGATTCTCACCTATATGCATGCTTATGCTTGTCCAAATCTTAGACTGTATCTACTGCTCACACCTACCCTCCCAAGTATACTCCTTTGACTGGAGCAGCAACAGAGTACATTCTATATTCTTGCATAGATGTATTTAAGAGTTCAAGCATGGATGCCCAAAGATGTTTGGGAAGCTGATCTATTCACCCTGAGTGGTGACAACTCAACTTTATCTAGACTCCTCCTGAGGAGTTCATCAAATTAATCATAGTCTAGGACCCAAGATCTTTTTGCTATCTTTGCTGGGAGAAACTGCACAAGATTTAAAGATAGAACAACTCACAGCTCTGCCTCTTCAGACTGTGTAACATTAACATAATTTTTCTAGCATCTACTAATCTCCCCTGTGAGATAATGCTACCCATGGTAAGACTCAAATTAGATAATGGACAAAAAAGCAATAAACAATCTGCCAAACTAACTCTTGATCATTTTTGTGGTAGAATTTCAGGAACACCAGTATCAGACGTCTGAACTCTATGAACCAGAGCCTCTATGGGGTGGATTGTTTCTACTGGTCTACCCAGGTTCTTAGGTTAAACTTGATCTCTCTAAGACAATGCTAAAGAATATATATTAGTTGAAATAAGATTTGCGTAGTTAAAAATGTTTCCTCCTTTGTTTAACTCCATGAGCCTACATAAATTATTTCCAATAGAACAATTTCAAAGAATGCAACTCTTGGAATCTTCTGGGAAAGAGACTGTCTTAGTTCCTCTCATGAGGGATTTACAAAGGGCAGCCATATACTATTCTAGATCTCTTTCCTAACAGCAAGTTCTATCTCATGGAAAACTTTTCGTGCAATAGTGTTCTTGACTTCAATATCCCTCATAGAGACATTATAACACATGTGCATGTTTTTATGTCTCTTGTTACCTGACATTATTTTATTACTTATTAATCCTATCCTGTTCCTCTAATTGGCTCCAATTGAGGAAACAATTACTAGTCTTTGTGGAGCTGAAATATAAGGATAAATATTGAAAAAAATCTGCAAATGAGTTAGCATAGCACAATATATAGATTGCTTAAGGTATCATCTATTTGAGTTATATTTCTTAAGTACCAATATTAATTTATCTTTTCACTTAATATTTACTAAACATATTATCTGTGTCTGGTACTGCACTGTGAATATAAAACGAGGAGCACGACCCAATTCCTGACATAAAACCATTTATTTTAGAGCAGCAGTTTTAAATGATCTCCTTAAATCATCTTAGACTGAAGCATAATTTGTTAAGTCCTATACTTATCTATGTATAAGAGATTTTAGAGATTGATTTTTTCACACTCATCTAACCACTGGGAAACAAATAAGGTCAAGAGAGGGAATTAAATTATCTAAGTTTACTGATGGTGGTAAACCTAGTAAACCTAGGACTAAATTCCAACTGAAATTATATTGATACACACTTTAAATTGTAATATACTATTTCTTAAATTAATTACTAGAACAGACGTTGTAAAGCAGGTGAATAATTTACAGAAGTAAAGAATTTACCTTTGAATATAATTTGAATCAATGAAAATTGACCTTGCTTCTTTCACTGGTGGTTAAGGTATCATTCTAGATGGAAAGCTTACCCTGGACTTTTTCTTGAGTGTGGTCCCACCTCATGGATTTGAACAATCTGAGATCTTGGATCAGAAAAGCCTTTGAAATAAAAATGTGATTGATACCAAGATACGCACACTAAAAGACAGATTTATATAATGATGCTTCTCTTATATACATGCCACATTTCCTCTTGTACAGTCTAAAAAGTGGTCTTGAGTTTGTTTTCTCTTTCTCTCTCTCCTCTCTCTCTCTCCCTCACAAAGATAGTATTTTATGAGTTTACAACCATGCCATAGCTTCTAACCTTGGTATGCAAAAGACTTCTACATTCCTGGATGCCAAAGGGAAGAAACTCTCCGCAATCTTTATGCATCATCAAAACCCTGAGAGAAATGCTGCACAAGTGATTGGGTAAGCAGCTGGAGAATATGATTAGGCAGAGGTGCAAGTGTAGTCTCTACTAAATAACTCCTTGTAAAACCATTCTGAAAGCTGGCTGAAAACAACACTTTTAATTAGAGTATTGAAGGTGAAAAGTTGGTCAAGAATTCCAGCAGAAGTAGCAGCATGTTCAGAAACATAGAAATATGAGGAAGCTGCACATAGTTCAGAAGTTCAAACTGTGGAGCAGGACTGGGCAAAAATTGGAATTAGGATTGATAATTGATCTTGGAACAAGTTTTTCTACTAGAACAAGGCCTAAGGTGTAGAGTGGTGTTGTAGTATGAGAAATCTTAGTTATTATCCTAGATTTTCTTATCACCATGCAGACCCTACACCCCTACAGAATCTCATATGTGTATCAGAATCTGAGGCAGGATAGAACATGCAAACAAGAAAGTATAGGTTTGATGAAATAAGAGGGAGAGACTGGTAGGGCTAGGATGTATATGCTAATCAACTCAACTGAGCCATTTTACTATGTAGACATATTTATTTCAAAACATCATGTACATGACAAATATATACAAGTTTTACATGTCAAATAAATAAATAAGAAACCATGCACAGATGTGAACAGAGTGGTGGGGGGAAGTCAAATATTCACTTAAAAAGATAAAAACTAGAACTGCACTGTATTTATGTTATAGATTTCACCATTTCCTGTAAGTAATGGAAGCTCACCAAGTATTTTCAAGTATTTATTTACAGAATAATTACAAAAAGTTTTTTGGGAATATAAAGGACATAACGGCAATAAATTAAATAACTGCCATGATAAATAAAAAATAGACAACTTGAGTAAGCCGTTTCATTAAGAACTAATGAAATCTGAATGAAAAGTGCAATGTAGTTAGTAGTAATGTATCAATATTAGTTTGACAAATGTACCATAGTAATATAACAATAAGGAAAATAGCATGAGGTATAATTATATTATGTGATATTCAACATTTCTGTAAATCTATAACCATTCCAAATTTTAAAAATTATTAAATTTAAAAATGATTTTATAAAATCTTTCAAAGCATGTTATGAGCCAGAAATTTTGGGAGGGCCTATAAACATCAGCTTTATTCATTCCCTTTCATTCTTTTTTTAATTTCAACTTTTATTTTAGATACAGAGGGTACATGTGCAGGTTTGTTACGTGGGTTTATTGCACCAAGGTAGTAAGTATAGTACCCAACAGGTAGTTTCCCAACCCATCCCCCCACCCTTCATCACACCTTTTGTAGTCCACAGTGTCTACCGTTCCCATGTACATGTCCATGTGTGCTTAATGTTTAGCTCCCACTGGTACGTGAGAACATGTAGTATTTGGATTTCTGTTCTTGCATGAATTTGCTTAAGATTATTGCCTGAAGCTCCATTCATGTTGCTGCAAAAGACATGATTTCATTCTTTTGTATGGTTGCGTAGTATCTGATAATGTATGTACCATATTTTCTTTATCTAGTCTACCATTTATGGGCACCTAGGTTGATTCCGTCTTTGCTGAATAGTTCTGAAAAGAACATACAACTGTGTGTGTCTTTTTGGTCTTTTTGGCATAATCTATTTGGCATAATCTATTATATATATATAAAATATTTTATATATATAAAATATTATATATATATAAAATATTATATATTATATATATATAAAATATTATATATATATAAAATATTATATATAAAATATTTTATATATATATACACACACACACACAGAGAGAGAGAGAGAGAGAGAGGAAAAAAAAGGATTGCTGGATCAAATAGTAGCTTTGTTCTAAGTGATTTGAGAAGTCTCCAAAATTTTGCCCACAGAGGCTGAACTAATTTACATTCCCAACAACTCTGTACAAGCACTCCCTTTTTTCTACAGGCTCACCAGCATCTGTTGTTTTTTGACTTTTTCATAACAGCCACTCTGATTGGCATGAGATGGTATCTTATTGTGGTTTTGGTATGAATTTCTCTGATGATTAGTGATAAGCATTTTTTTGTATATTTGTTGGCTCCTTGCATGTCTTTTTATTGAGAAGGATCTATTCGTGTCCTTTTCCCATTATTAATAGGGCTATTTGTTTTTTGTCTGTTGTATTGTTTAAGTTCTATTTACATTTGAGATATTAGACCTTTGTCAGATGCACAGTTTGCAAATATTTTCTCCCATTCGGTAAGTTGTCTGTTTCCCCTCTTGATAGTTTCTTTTTCTGTACAGAAGCACTTTCGTTTACCCAGGTCCCACTTGTCAATTTTTGGTTTTGTTGCAATTTCTTTGGGGGGACTTAGCTAATTTTTTTCCCAAGGCCAATGTCAAGAAAAATATCTCCTAGATTTTGGTCTAGGATTTTCATAGTTTGTGGCCTTACATTTAAATCTTTAATCTATCCTGTTAATTTTCTTACATGCTGAAAAGCAAGGGTCTAGCTTCATCCTCCTGCACTTTGCACCTCAAGGAATTAGAAAATAAAGGACAAACCAACTCCATAGCTAGCAGAAGAAAAGAAATAACAAAAATTAGAGAACAACTTAATGAAAGTGAGGTGCAAAAATCTATACAAAACGTCAATGAAACCAAGAGTTAGTCTTTTGAAAAAATAAGATTGTTAGACTGCTAGTTAGATTAAAAAAATAGTAAAAAAAAAAAAAGAAGATCCAAATGAGTACAGTCAAAAAGTACAAAAATGACATTACAACTGATCCCACAGAAATACAAAAGATCCTCAGAGAATACTATGAACAACTCTATGCACACAAATTAGAAAATCTGGAAGAAACGGATAAATCCCTGGAACAACACAATCTCCTAAGATTGAATTAGGAAGAGACTGTAATCCTTAATAAGTCAATATCAAGCTCTGAAATTGAATCAGTAATAAAAAAAAAAAAAACTCTACTAACCAAAAAAAGCCCAGGACCAGAGGAATTCACAGTTGAATTCTACCAGACATATAAAGAAGAAATGGTACCAATCCTACTGAAAGTATTCCCAAAAAAATCAAAAAGGAAGGGCTCCCCCCTAACTCATTCTATGAAGCTAGCATCAGCCTAATACCAAAATCTGGCAGAAACAAAACAAAGAAAGAAAACATCAGGCCAATATCCTGATGAACATAGATGCAAAAATCCTCAACACAATACTAGCAAACCAAATTCAGCGGCACATCAGTAAGTTAATTCACCACGATCAAGTAGGCTTTGTTCCTGGAAACAAAGAGAGACTTGAAAATGCAAAAGGGAATACAAAACGCTCTTGCTTTTCTTAAAATAACGCTACCAATTCCAGCTATCAACAGGACATTTAAAATGATTTGCCAAGACTATACATTTTGCTATGAAAGAGAGCATCAGAAAAAGGGGATGTTGCAGCCGGCTTATACTAAGAGAAAGCCTGGAGCTCTATGTTCTTGAAACATGCCTGGTAATCCCTAGCACCACTCAAATCTTTCTGGTAACTCACCCACTACTCTCGGGCAGTTTCCTGCACTTCAGGATATTCAAAATATTACCTTCAGGATATCATACTGCTCTTCAGGATATTCAACGTATGCAAAAAACTCTAAAAGTGTAGAGCAGAGTAAAGCAAAAAAGAAGAACATGATGTTCCAGGTATGCCATTCTCACCCTCACCCATACTATTTAGAAATCTCCCAAATGGCAGCCTAGTTCCTAGTCTGTGAGGAGTCCTTCTGTAGCAATATATACATATATACATACGTACATATGGCTTCTTAAATATGAAGTCATTAACTCCCAACACAAAAATAAAAATATATTTTTTGTCCCTATATCAAGAAAGCTCTTACATGACCAGGGTTATTGGCATTTTCCAGTATATCCTAGTATTAGATGGAGTTTCAGACTTTTTTTCACAAGTATATTTTTCAGCTAAGTAATCATAAATACCTCTCTATGGCAATTCATTAGGAGATAAAGTGACAAAATATAAAAAACATTATAAAAATTTGTCATTATCTTATTATATAGTAAATAGAATAAAGACTTTTCATAGCCATAAAATATTGCAAGGATCCTATGTCAGAGATAGATAATCTTAAATATAAATGTTTAAGTTAACCTTTTTAGGGATCTTCCAGCTCTGAAGCTCCTATACAGGTATTATAGAAATTAAGTAATCTAGCCAGGTGTCGTGGCTCACGCCTGTAATCCCAGCACTTTGGGAGGCTGAGGCAGGCACATCACCTGAGGTTAGGAGTTCAAGACCAGCCTGGCCAACACGGAGAGACCCTGTCTCTACTAAAAATACAAAAACTAGCCAGGCATGGTGGCCGGTGCCTGTAATCCCAGCTACTTAGAAGGCTGAGGCAGGAGGATCACTTGAACCTGGGAGGCAGAGGTTGCAGTGAGCCAAAATCATGCCACTGCACTCCAGCCTGGGAGACAAGAGTAAGACTCTGTCTCAAAAAAAAAAAAAAAGAAAGAAAGAGAAAGAAGAAAGGAAGGAAGAAAGAGAGAAAGAGACACAGAAAGAAAGAGAAAGAAAGAAGCAATCTGTATAATTGGGATAAATACACTTTCTGAGGAGAAATAAAATATTAACTTAATTATATAATTATTAGCTTTCTTTTATTTTTTTTCTTTGAGACCGAGTTTTGCTCTTGTTGCCCAAGCTGCAGTGCAGTGGTGCGATCTCAGCTCACTGCAACCTCTGCCTCCCGGGTTCAAGTGATTCTCCTGACTCAGCCTTCCTGAGTAGCTGGGATTACAGGATTACAGGCATGTGCCACCATGCACGGCTAATTTTGTATTTTTAGTAGAGATGGGGTTTCTCCATGTTGGTCAAGCTGGTCTCAAACTCCTGACTTCAGATGATCTGAACTCCTTGGCCTCCCAAAGTGCTGGGATTACAAGCAGCTTTCTTGATTGATTACATTTTTTCTAAGTGGTCATGGGCAAGTCACTTAACTCAGAGTTTATTTTCAAAAATGAAGTTAGGTAAATTTATTCCTCAAACATGTTTGAGACTCAGAGGTAATAACTGTGAGCATCTCAAGAATGAGTGCTTTCAACCACAGTTCATTTCTTCCTCCTTTCGAGGCTAAAACTCTTAAACATTATGGTCAGTTGAAGAGCCAGCTTACCTATTCACCCTCACTGTAATTCCACTCAAAGAAAAACTCAATGTGAAACTGGGTACCTCTTCTTGAGAAGCCTCTACAACAGAATACTAACAGCTTCCATCACCCCTGCACTCCTGGACTTCCTTTCTCTCACACATAAACTTTGTTAAGAGCATATGTTCATTAGAGTGATGCCTGACTACATTTCTAAAACTTGGGACACTGTGGAACACAGTTCTGAGGTAAATACTACTACATAGGTGGTTGTTACTCTTCTCAGGCTTTGTTATAACAGAACAAAGAAATTCACACTACTTCAGAAGAGGATCTGATGAGACATCAGAAGGAACTTCCTAACACTAGGAATCATTAAATGCTGGAGGAAAGGAACACAAAAAGAGACATATCTTGTTTCATTTGAATAGATTAAAAAGTGGAACAAATTGAATAAATGAAGAGTACTTAGAACATGAAGATAGAAAAGTTGATCTTTCAATTAATGCTTGTTATCATTTGTGGCCAGTAAATTCTACTGAGTTCCCGAGTTCTCTTGATTATGGTCAAAAGGCATAGGTGGCTTTCCAGAGTGCCACCTGTGCTTTTAAATTGTAATCAAGAGTGATCTATTATAATCTTTAGGCTATCTTCTTTTTTATACCAAAGTCATCAAAATGGTTTTTAGACATGTACAAGATGAGTTAAGAGTCTTCCAAGAAAGAGTATGTTTTTCAAATCACCTCTTCTGCTCATTCTTTAACAAGGAAATGGAATGTCACATGGTTTTATCCTCAGCTTCTTCATAGCTGTCTTCATATCAGCATTTCTGAGTGTGTAGATGAGGGGGCTCAACATAGGTGTCATCACTGTGTAAAACATGGAGAATATCTTATCCACAGAGAAGCTGCAGAAAGGCCTCAAATAGATGAATATACATGGCATGAAGATCAGGCTGACCACTGTCAGGTGAGAAGCACAGGTAGAGAGGAACTTGTTCTGGCCCTGGCCGAAGTGTGTTCTCAGGGTGATCAGGATGACAGCATAAGAGAATAGTAAGACCAAGAAGCAGACAAGAGAGAGCAGACCACTGTTGGCTATCATCAGCACCTCTACCACATAGGTGTCCATGCAGGCCAGCTTGATGACCTGTGGGACATCACAGTAGAAGTTGTCCAGTTCATTGGGGCCACAGAAAGGCAGCTGGATGACTAGTATGACCTGCATGATAGAGTGGATAAAACCCCCACACCAGCAGGCAAGAACCAACCAAAGGCACAGCTGGGGGTTCATGACTTATAAGGTAGCGCAAAGGGTTACAGATGGCAACATACCTGTCATAGGCCATAACTGTCAGCAAAAACATCTCACTGGCTCCTAGAAAGTGGAGGAAGTAGATCTGGGCCAGGCATCCTGAAAAAGAGATGCTCTTGCCCTGCTGTAGGAAATCCCCTAACATCTTTGGCAGAGTAACACAGCTTAGGCATAGGTCAATGAAAGAGAGATGACCTAAAAAATAATACATAGGAGATTGGAGCAGATGAGCATGGGCTTGCACTGTTACCACTATCAAGAGGTTTCCCAGGACAATAGCAATGTAAAAAAACAAAAATAGTAATAAGAGAAATAGCTGCAGCTCCCAAGAAGATGATAGGCCCAGAAGAACAAGTTCTGTCACGTTAGAATCTTGTTTTTTTTCATCAAGCCAAGAATATCAAGTGACCTAGAGAAAGAAGAATTAAATCAGAACAAGGGAGATTTAAGGTATCAATCTATCTACGTATCTATCTATCTATATAGATAGATATAGATATACACTATATATATAGTATGTAATACATAAATTACATAAAAATTATTTTAGCAAATTCTATGAGGTAGTATAGGCAGTAGTCTTATATTGATAGAACATTGAATTTTGTTCACTTCTTCCAACTCTTTATTCCTGTACTACTTTTAAATTGCATTCACAATAAACTAGAAAGAAACACAATGACCTGGACATGAGGTGGTAAGTGCTAATCTTTCCATTTCTTTTAATAGACAGAATAATGTCCTCTAAGGACAAAAGTTCTGGAATGGAGTATCTAGATCGAATGCCTAGCTCCACCATTACCAATGGAGTACTCTCAGGCAAGGAAATAAACCTCTCTGAATTTTGTTCTTTGGTTATTCAATTTAATGCAGAGTTAATAATATCTCCCAAGATTGTTCTGAGAATCAAATGTAATGCCTATGTGCACCATAAAAAAAAAACTAGATCTCTCAAGATGAGGAAATATCTTACTCATCTTTGTATCCACAACACAATATTTACTGCATAGCAGAAGCTCAATAATTTATCAAATCGAAGGAAGAATGTTTTGTAAACAACAAATTGCTATGTTGTACAAAGTTTAGTAGTTACTGTGAATAAATATATTAGGAAACAAATCATTTAGGAAGGATTGAAAAAGCTCATATTTTTTGTCTTTACTATCCCAGGTTACAGAAATTGGGAAGTTTGTAAAAATGAGGTAAGAAGAAACAGTCTCAATCTTTAAGATTTAGGGAAGCATCAGACTGGGGATGAGTAGGACAATGATTAAAAGACACCAATCACCAAGACAAGAGACCAAGAGCCATGACCCATATCGTGGAGGCATGCACAAAAGCCCACCATGACCCTTTTACAGGACAAAGTAATAAGAGAAACCAGAGTTGTGTTGCTTCTGGACTTTTCAACAACCATAGATACATAAGAAAATAAAAGATTTGCTAAGATATTGTTAGATATATTTTCCCCTGCTCTACACTCATATTCATCCCCAATGTTTGGTGACAGTACCTTGGATTACAAACAGAAAATCAGAGAATGTTGATACATTTCTTCCATTGCAGTAAAAATTAGTAGATGTCTCCCTGTCTAGAATTTTTTTTTATCTAGAACCAGCTATAGACAAAATATGAAATAAGACAAGATTTTATTTTGTGTTCCAAGCTTTGTAATCCATGTTGCACTTGGTTCTATCAAGTCATTCAGAGAATGTTATCCAATAAAATCCTTCATAATAGATATCAGGTATTTACATAGACAATGCAGAAAAGTACTTAAATTCTAAAAATGAAAACCTCTAATGACAAGAAAACTTTCTCTAGGGTATTATTCCAAGATAAGCCAGTGAGAGAGAGATTTGGGGCTCAAGTCACATTTGGACGCCTCTGTCACACCATGATTGTGACCATCCTCTTCATCTACCTATATAGCCAAGTGCACAGGTGCATCTAAATCTATAATCTCATAACTGATAGAAGGAATCACCTCACTTTCTAGAGTCAATTGGAAAATAAACCAAAGCAAGAAATACAAGTTAGGGAACGATTTGCTGTTATGTGTACAGCCCTACTTGAGCTCTGCTATATTGGAAATTCTCTAATCTTTTTTGGATGCACCAAGGATTGTAAAGTTCCATAAGAAAACATCATTTTGATGTTCTTTTCAGTTATCTAAAATGTATAATTAACAGGGGTCAAGTCTCATTAAAATTATGCATCTAATTTTTAAAATAATCTTGGGAAAACTGGAAAAGTCTGAGAAAGAGAAACCAAAGTTATTTTTTTAATTAAAAAAGGTTTCTAGAAGCCAGAAAACAATGGGAACACATAATCCTACACACTGTTATAATTTAGTCTCAGAATATGGCTGAGAAACAATGTGATTATTTCCTAATGTGAAGGGCATAGTATACCAAGGGTGTACGGTACACTTGTTATTTCCACTGAACATATGTTGGGAAAGAAAAGATTACATTAAAACAGACAATATTAAAATTAAATAAATCAGAAGGATAGATTAAATAAGAGAAGAATATGTAAAATATGTTATAAGCCAAATTACTACAAACCATTTATAAGCCTGATTTTATGGCCTACTTGTTTAAAGTAAGATTTAATATTAGGAAATTTCAGCACTATAAATATTCTGGACAGTTCCTAGGTGATTACTGTGATAAGATTTTGATTAATAATGATATAAAAATCTTTACACTTGCATAAGTTAAAAATAGGCAGCCCTGTATGTTAGTTATTTGAGTTTTAATCAAGGTAAGGGCTGGATTCTGGTTATTCTTGGATTTTTTTTTTAATGACAGTAAATTTGCAATCTTCAGACAATATAAAACATAATACTAAACAATATAGAAAGCTCCCTTTTAGGTTTAATAACATTTCCACATTTGGTTGAGTCATCTCCCAGCTTCTGAAGTCTGATCACAGTAGGAAATTAAGCCTGTCACTGTTCTGCAAAGAATAAAAAGAACAATACACCCAACAACATGAACGAATGTCTACATCCCAAAACTAACCCCAGTCACAATATAATTTCCCTTGCCAAAGCCCTGCAGAGCTTGGAAAGCCACATTCAAAAATACCAGCTCCATTATCCCATTAGCAGTAAGATCAGACCCTACCAAGCATTTCATGTTTCATATCCTAAAAATAACCTAAGAATGTGAAAAAGTCAATAAAAATATTTTTAAGTACACAAAATGAGCCAAAAAAATTGAGAATGCTTAATGCAAAATGAAAGTCTTTATGGAAGGGTCCTGCTTAGAGAGAAGAGGACAAACTAAAGCACCTTAAATAATCAAAGGCTACTTGTGTACAGCTGAGCAGCTGGTCTCTTGTCTTTCTAAACAAGGAACCAGAGATGTTTATGAGGAAAATATGAAGAAAAGGAGTAAAATTTTTCTCCTGGTAACTTGTGCATGTGTGTGTTTTAAGCATAACAGTATACCATATTTTGCTATTATGTTTGTCTTGTATTTATTTTGGTCTGTGTGGAGCTAAATGCATTATTAGAGGAGGAAATTTGACTATCTCAACAATAGAAAATAATTGGCTAGCTGGAGTTTCAATTCCATATGAATTCCTTTTAGACGCATTTGATGCATTTTTAAATTTCTCCTGAAAAACAAGAAGTGGACACCATTAGTTGAAGATGGTACCTATAGTGGTATTCTCTATTGAGAAAGAAACAATCTTTCTGTTCTAAACTTCTTTGGCCTTGTTTGAAACATTGCATTCTATATTGTACCTGTGGAACGTAAAGAAGATTTTAGTAAAAAGAAACTTTAATAATTAAAGAAATGGAAAACAGAATCTAGAAGGGACTATAACAGAATTAGGTAGTCTTAAGACAATATTGCCATGAAACCTGTGCCTTCAGTTATGTAAATTTGGTCCTATCGTATCCAAATATTGCAACTGTCTTCTAAGATGCCACTAGCCCTAGAATTCCTTGATGCTATAGGAATTTCACTGTTCTGTGAATGTTTCTAAGTGTAAATTTAAAACAACAAAACTCAAATGATCTCTTAAATTTAAAAATGATCAATGCCAGAGTATATAGAGAAAAAGAGTGAGGACAACAGTAAACATAAAAATAGCATCAGAGTCAGACAGAGGAGCAGGAAGGGGAGGGGAGCTTTGAGTAAATATATCTGAGAAACCTACATCTTTGCTTGTCAGAAGCTATGTGGTTTCAAGGAAGGAAGATGTTATCCTGCCATTCATCCTACCAACCCTCTCTTCAGCCTCAGGCCAGCAAAATGGACAATCCTCAGGTGACCATCACAGCTGCCCAGCACATGTCTTAATTGCTTCCTTATAAGCCAAGCCCTAGTTGACGGCTGGCTGTATGAACTGGAAATATCTCCTATCCCTAGGACTCTAGCTGTATCTGAGGTTGCTATGGTTCTTACAACACTACTTAGCTTAATGAGCCCTGGGATTCCCTAGGCTGCTGCTGTTTGAGTTCTGTTAAATTTAGTTCTTGCTAGGAAGTTGACCTTGGGACCTGCAGGCTCTGAAGCAATTAGACCTGTTGCATAACAGAACCCACTTATTTTACTTACTTTGGATTGATTTATTTGTAATTTGTCATTGATTTGTTTGTATATGCCATCCATTTTCAATGCCTCAGTCTGTATCTGAAGAAGATTCTCACTGGTTTTTATCTCAATCATGCTCCTTGAAGTAGCAGAAGCTGAAGGATAAATACCAACCTAAGGTATTTATCTCTGAGATAATTCCAGGGATAGCTTGGTATTTATCCTTTAAGGTAATATAGAGTGTCTTGATACAACACCTGATTTCTTGAAACCTCAAGCAGCTTACCTACTGGCATTTATTCATAGATCGTATCCAGAAAACACAGCTGTTGTCATTAGTAATTTAATTTTTTATAGACTGTCAGTCTAATTTTTAAATATCATAAAACATAATTCTCAAACAAATACATAATGAACACATCAAAAACTGTATTTAATTAATGAGGGATAGCAGGATAACAAAGTCCGTTCCAAAAAGAATATGAAAAGTGTGATTTTACATAATCACAGCAAAAAAATGAACACTAAAATAAAATTGTTAAATTTGATGTAATCCAGTTAATGTCTCATGACACAGATTTACCTATATAACAAACCTGCACGTGTACCTCTGAACTTAAAAGTTAAAAATATCAACATAACAAAAATATTCATATTTTTTCATACAGCTATAAAAAGGGGCAATACGACCTTAATCTTTGGGATTATCTTTTCTACCACACTAAAAAGATACAATGTAGCAGTTTTCTATAACATCTAGCTATATGTAATTATACAATGTCTGAGATTCCATAATTCATATATAGTAAGTTAAACAAAATCACATTTGCTAGAGAGTCAGATGACCCTTAGCTGGGCTTGCTAAACAATGTTTTTTGTTTTGTTATTTTTTATTTCTGTGGGTACAGAGTAGGTGTATACATTTATAGAGTATGAGATATTTGGGTACAGGCATACAATACATAATAATCGCATCATGGTAAATGGGGTATTCGTCCCCTCAAGCATTTATCCTTTGTGTTACAAACAATCCAATTATATTCTTTTGGTTATTTTTAAATGACAATTGAGTCATTATTGACTATATTCACCCTGTTGTGCTATCAAATACTAAATATTATTTATTCTTTATATCTTTTTGTACCCATAACTATCCCCATTTTTCCACATCCCACACCTCCACCATCCTTCTCAGTTTTTGGTAACCATCATTCTACTCTTTATCTGCATGATTCGATCGTTTTAATTTTCAGTTCCCACAAGTAAGTGAGAATATGGGAAGTTTGTCTATCTGTGCCTAGCTTATTTCACTTAACACAATAATCCCCATTTCCGTCCATGTTGTTGCAAATGATCTGATTTTTTTTATGGCTGAATAGTACTCTATTGTATATGTATGTGCCACATTTTCATTATTCATTCATCTATTGATGGAAACTTAGGTTGTTTCCAAATCTTGGCTATTGTGAACAAAGCTAAAACAAACATGAGAATGCAGATAACTCTTTGTTATACTGCTATTTTTTCTTTCGGGTCTACATCTAGCAATGAGGTTGCAAGATCGTAAAGTAGCTCTACATTTAGTTTTTGGGGGAATCTCCAAACTGTTTTCCATAGTGGTTGTACTAATTCACATTCCCACTGACAGAGTATGAGAGTTCCCTTTTCTCCTCTTCCTCACCAGCATTTGCTATTGCCTGTGTTTGGATAAAAGCCATTTTAAATGGGGTGAGATGATACCT
Source organism: Homo sapiens (assembly GCF_000001405.40). Classification (NCBI taxonomy): domain Eukaryota; kingdom Metazoa; phylum Chordata; class Mammalia; order Primates; family Hominidae; genus Homo; species Homo sapiens. The sequence continues at coordinate 330,314 of NT_187382.1, read as the reverse complement.
CATTGTAGCTTTGAGGAACATTTCTCTGATGATCAATGGTGTTTGAGCACCTTTTTATGTATCTGTTTGCTATTTGTATTGTCTTTTGAGAAATCTCTATTCAGATCCTTTGCCCATTTTTAAATTAGATTATTAGGGTTTTTTCCTATAGAGTTGTTTCCTGGTTATTAATCCCTTGTCAGATGGGCAGTTTGCAAATATTTTCTCCCATTCTGTGGGTTTGATCTTCACATTGATTGTTTTTCCTTGGATGTGCAGCAGCTTTTTAACTGGATGTGATCCCACTTGTCCGTTTTTGCTTTGGTGACCTGTGTTTGTGGAGTGTTGCTCAAGAAATCTTTACCCAGACCAATATCTAAGAGAGTTTCCCCCAATGTTTCCTTTTAGTAGTTTAATTTTTTGAGGTCTTAGATTTAAGCCTTTAATACATTTTAATTTGATTTTTGTATATGCCAAGAGATAGGGGTCTTGTTTCATTCTTCTGCATATGGATATCCAGTTTTCCCAGCACCATTTATTGAAGAGACTGTTCTTTCCCCAATGTATGTTCTTGGCACTTTTGTAGAAAATGAGCTCACTGTTGATGTACGGATTTGCTTCTGGGTTCTCTATTCTGTTCCATTGACCTATGGGTCTGTTTTTTATGCCAGTACCATGTTGTTTTGGTTACCATAGCTTTATAGTGTAGTTTAAAGTCAGGTAATGTGATTTATCCAGTTTTGGTTTATTTGTTCAGGATAGCTCTGGGTATTCTGGGTCATTTGGTTATATCAATTTTAGGATTGTTTTTTCTATTTCTGTGAAGAATGGCATTGGTATTTTGATAGAGATTGAATCTGTAGATTGCTTTTGGTAGTATAACATTTTAACAATGACTGTTTCAGCTAATGAACATGGAATATCTTTCCGTTTCTTTGTGTCTTCTTTAGTTTCTTTCGTCAATGTTTTATAGTTTTCATTGTAGTGATTTTCACTTTTTTGGTTAATTCCTAGGTATTTAATTTTATTTGTAGCTATTGTAAATGGGATTACTTTCTTGATTTGTTTTTCAGACAGTTCACTGTTGACATATGGAGATGCTACTGACTTTTATATGTTGATTTTGTATCCTGCAACTTTACTAAATTTGTTTATCAGTTCTAATAGTGTTTTGGTGGAGTTTTTAGGTCTTTCCTAATACAAGATCACATCATCTGCAAACAAGGATAATTTGACTTCTTCCTTTCCAATTTGGATGCCTTTTATTTCTTTCTCTTGTCTGACTGCTTTAGCTAGGACTTCTAGTACTATAGTCAATGAAGTGGTAAAAGTTGGCATTCTTGTTGTGCTCCAGATATTAAAGGCTTTCAGTTTCTTTCCATTCAGCAAAATTCTATCTGTGGGTCTGTCATATATGGCTTTTATTATGTTGCAGTTTGTTCCTTCTATACCCAGTTTTTTAGAATTTTTATGATGAATGGATGTTGAACTTTATCAAATTTTTCAGCATCAGTTGAAATGATCATATGGTTATTCTCCTTCATACTGTTTATTGTTTATCATATTGATTGATTTGCACATATTGAACCATTCTTGCATCCCTGGGATAAATCCTACTGTGGGAGCTAAAAATTAAAACAATTGAACTCATGGAGATATAGAGTCGAAGGAAAGTTATCAGAAACTGAGAAAGATAGTGGTTAGGGGGATGGGAGGGCAGGTAGGGATGGTTAATGGGCACAAAAAGTAGTTAGAAAGAATGAATAAAATCTAGTATTTAATAGTACAAGAGGATGACTATTGTGTATTATAATTTAATTGTACATTTTAAAGTAACTAAAAGAGTGTAATTGAATTGTTTGTAACCCAAAGGATAAAAATGCTTGAGGGGAATGGATACCCCATTTACCATTATGTGATTATTATGCATTACATGCCTGTATCTAAGTATCTCATGTACTCAATAAATATATGCACCTACCACATACATACCAAAGTTTAAAGTCAATTAAAAAAAAAGAAAAAGCCAGGCACGGTGGCTCACACCTGTAATCCCAGCACTTTGGGAGGCCAAGGCAGGTGGATCAACTGAGGTCAGGAGTTCAAGATCAGCCTGGCCAACATGATAAAACCCCGTCTCTACTAAAAACACACACACAAAAAAATAGCTGGGCATGGTGGTGGGCACCTGTAATCCCAGCCACTCGGGAGGCTGAGGCAGAAGAATCACTTGAACCCAGGAGGCGGAGGTTGCATTGAGCTGAGATGGCACCATTGCACTCCAGCTTGAGCAACAAGAGCGAAACTCTGTCAGAAAGAAAGAAGAAAGAAAGAGAGAGAGAGAGAAAGAAAGAAAGAAAGAAAGAAAGAAAGAAAGAAAGAAAGAGAAAGAAAGAAAGAAAGAAAGAAAGAAAGAAAGAAAGAAAGAAAGAAAGAAAGAGAAAGAAAGAAAAGAAGGGAAGGGAAGGGAAGGAAAAGAGAGAGAGAAAGAAAGAAAGAAAGAGAAAGAAAGAAAAGAAGGGAAGGGAAGGGAAGGGAAGGAAAAGAGAGAAAGAAAGTAAGTAAAAAGAAAGGAAGGAAGGAAGGAAAGAAAAAAAGAAAAAGAAAAGAAAGAAAGAAAGAAAAGAAAGAAAGAAAAGAAAAAGAAAGAAAGAAAAAAGAAAAGAAAGAAAATAAATTACAAGGCAATAACATGATCTTAGATGCGAAAATTCTCAACAAAATACTAGCAAACTGAATCCAATAACACATTAAAAAGACAGTTCACCACGCCCAAGTGGGTTTTATTCCAGGAATTCAAGGGTTATTCAGTATAAATGAATCAAAAAGTTTGATACATTACACTGATAGAATAAAAGACAAAAAGTGTATGATCATTTCAATAGATACAAAAACAGCATCTGATAAAATTTATCATTGCTTCATGATAAAAATTAAACAAATTTAGGCATAGAAGGAGCATACCTCAACATAATAAAGGCCATATATCAGAAACTCACAGTGAAAATCATACTGACATAGGACAAACAGAAAATCCTTCTTCTAAGAACTGAAAAACGACAAGGATTCTCACTTTCACAACACCTATTTCATATAGTATTGGAAGTTTTGGCCAGAGTATCAGCAAGAGAAAGAAATAAAACGCATTCAAATTGGAAAAGAAGAAGTCAAATTGTTTCTCATGGCAGATGACATGATCTTATATAGAGAAAAACATAAAAACGTTATCAAGACAACTCTTAGAAGTGATAAGTGAATTCAGTAACGTTGCAGAATACAAAATCAGCATACAAAAATCAGCAGCACTTTTATGTGGTAATAATCAACTGTCTGAAAAGAATTCAAGATAACAATCTTATTTACAATAGCTCCAAAATAAAAAAATATAATTCTTAGGAATTAATTTAACCAAGGATATGAAAGATACCTATAATGAAGCCATAAAACACTTATGAAAAAAATTTGAAGACAGAAATAAATGGAAAGATAATCCTGCATTCGTGGATTCAAATAATTAATATTGTTAAAATGTTCACACTACCCAAAACAAGCTATGGATTTATCAAAATAACAATGACATCCTTCAGAGAAATAGAAAAAACAATCCTAAAATACGTATGGAATCTACAAAAGACCTGGAATAGCCAAAGCAGTCTTGACCCAAAAGAACAAAGTTGGAGGCATCATACTACCTGACCTCAAAGTATACTGTAAAGCTATAGTAACCAAAACAGCATGATACTGGCATAAAATCAGATGCATAAACCAATGGAATAGAATACAGAGCCCAGAAATAAATCCACAGGTGATACACAGTCACCTAATATTTTGACGAAGCTGCCAAGCACACACAATGGGGAAAGGACAGTCTTTTCAATAAATGGTATTCGGAAAACTGGGTATCTATATGCAGAAGACCGAACTTATACCCTTACTTCATACCATATACAAAAAATCAACAAAAAATAGTTTAAACACTAAAACATGAGACCTAAAGCTGTAAAACTACACAACATTGATGTAGGCAAAAGCTAAGGCAAGAAAAACAAAAATAGACAAATGAGGTTACATCAAAATAAAAAGCTTCTGCTCAAAAGAAACAACAGAACCAAAAAATGACCTACAGAATAAGAGAAAATTTTTGCAAATTATACATCTGATAAGGGGTTAATATTCAAAATATATAAGGAACTCAAGCAACTCAATAGCAAAAAACAACACTACCACCAAATAATTCAATTTAAAAGTGGGCAAAAAACCTGACTAGATATTTTTTAAAATATGACGTGCAAATGACCAAAAAGCATATGAAAAAATCCTCAGCATCACTGATCATCAGGTAAATGCAGATCAAAACCACAATGAGATAGCACCTCAGCCCAGTCAGAATGTTCATGATCAGACAAAAGATGGTAATAGTCAGTAAGAATGCAGAGAAAAGGGAACGTTTATACACTGTTGGTGGTAATGTAAATTTGTATAGTCATTATGAAAAACAATATGGAGGTTCCTCAAAAAATTAAAAATATATGTAGTATATGTTTGAGTATCCAGTAGGCATTCAGTAAATATCTGTGGAATAACTAAATGTCAATCAAATTTCTTGTGCTCTACATAAAATTCAACTCAAATATCTCTAATAACTCTGCAGGTACAAATATTTGATGACCAGAGAATGATTTTTCTTCAAAATAGATCTAGAGAGTATTATGGTAAAGCTAACCACTGTAGCTAAAATGACAATCCCTTTTACTACTTAATTATTCCTCAGGAAGTTTTGACAATACATGAACACGAAAGAAGAAAGAAAAGATAAGATCTGCTTCTACATTTTCACTATTCTTTAGGGGACAGTAAGAACTGGCTTTTGATTGTGAAAATTCAAAATGTTATCCTCTTTTAAACAAACACTATCAAAATATCCCAAGAGAGACAGAGCTCCAAGTCCCAAAAGGCTATAGTGCAAGTAAATAGATATATATAATACACTCACTTGAGCTTGCATTTTGACCATTAATATATGCTTTGAAGGTGGGGAAAATCTTTTAGGGTTTACTTTTTGCAACCCATGAGAGATAACAAACAGGATCATGCAATTTCTTGGAAGTTCTTCACATGTCTTTGGCTCTGGGGAATAATATTTTGTCTCCTGTCCCTGACCTTCTCAGCATTCACTCAAAGAGCGAATGGGAAGTATATAACATGTGAGTCACCCAGTTTTTTTTGCAAAAATCATAGAAAATGTTTTCTTCTTGTCTTTGAGAAAACTAAAAATATATCTCAGAATGAAAAGCTGGCAAAGAATGAAGCTGAAAAATATAAGTTTTTCTTCTTGTTTCCCTGAAATCTGGAAAATATTTTCCAATTATGGTTCATATCCCTTTAAAATATGAATAGCCATATATACAAAAAGAATAGTATTTCAAGTGAAGATGTATATTAACTGATGAATTGCTGGAGAAGGGTATATTTTGGTAATTTTTGTTACTTGGTGAGCAGAAGAAATATGGCATATTTCTCTTTCCAGCAATATTTTCTTTCTTAAGCCCAAATACTGATTTTTCAGTTCCATTACATTAATAAGACTTGGTATTATACAAATTAGTTATTATTTAAGAAACAAAAATCTTCAGCTCATATGACTTTTTCTTGTTTTTGTTGTTATTTGGGCTAGAAGTTAACCGGAGGGTAATCAGGGGAAAAGTTTTATGTTTCGGATTTGCCTAGATAGGAAAGGCCTCAGAAAACAACCACAGTGAGATGCAAAATAACACCAAAGGTCAAAGGAAGAAAAGGAACATGTGGAAGAAAGCAGTGAATAAAAAACATGGAAACTTTTGTAATATAAACTTTATCTGCCTTTCTTATTTTCCTGCAGCTGACTTGACCATGATTAACAAAAAACAAGCACATTGAACTTGGCCACAGTCACGCAGACCAGCTGTTCTCCCTAAGGTCAATGTCATAATAGGCATATGAAGTTCTTACATTCACCTGGAAGCATATAAAAATATTTAGTCAGAGCAATTTAAGAGCCAAAGTATGGCACGCTTCCTCACAGCATATAGCATATCCAGCTGCCTAAAAATGAAAGAATGTATTTTTTATGCTAAACATTGGTACAGATACATGAAACAGCATAAAAGACCATATATTCTCTAATGACAGAGTTCTTTCTTATTACCACTTTAAAACACTACAAGTAACCGGGAGTAGCTGAAATTGAAAGTAAATATTAATTTGTGCCCTGGCATGGCACTATATTGAGAAAGAGTATTTTTAAATATCTTGGTTTTGTATTTTATTTTTATACCACTAATAATAATGAATCAGGTATTCATAGTACTGTTGAAAGAACTACATACCCAGATAAATACAGTATCAATAATGCAGGTAAACAGAAGAAAGAGTAGACCCATTGTATATAGGTAATTTATTGGAATCACAAAATTTGCATTCCTGGTTTCAAGTCTAGTGTTCTTAGCAAGAAAAAAAACTCTCCACAATTCATATTTTCCCTTCTATTGTTGTGATTTATTAAAATAAACGTGTAGGAATTGAGTCATGAAAGTCACAGTTTTGTTGTTTAAACAAAAGTCTAATTGTTTACTACTTTATAATATACATGATGAAGAATTTTGGTTGTTTCCAAGAAGAAACAGCACGCTCCCTTTCATGTTTCAGTTACCTCTGCCATCTCCATGTCTTCCAGACTAATGAATGTGTTCAGCATGGAAACTATCAATTTTGTTAGCTGCCTTATCCTCATGGGCTTTCCCTCAAGCCCAGAAATGCAGCTCCTCTACTTCGGTCTCTTCTCAGTAGCCTATACTCTCACCCCGATGGGAAATGCAGCCATTGTCTGTGCTGTGTGGTAGGACCAGCACCTTCACACTCCCATGTACACCCTCTTGGGAAATTTCTCTCTCCTGGAAATATGTTATGTTACTGCAACTAAACTGCTGGCCAACTTCCTCTCCACAAGCAAGTCCATCTCATTCATGAGTTGTTTTGCACAGTTCTACTTCTTCTCTTTGGGGTATGATGAGGGCTTCTTCCTTTGCATCACGGCCTTTGACAGGTATCTTGCCATCTGCCGCCCTCTACGTTATCCATGCATCATGACTAAACAAGTATGCACTGGCCTCATCATTTTTGCATGGTCATGTGTCTTTGTAATCTTCCTAACTCTGGTGATTCTCATTTCACAGCTATCCTACTGTGGCCCAAATATTATCAACCATTTTATTTGTGATCCCGTCCCATTGAAGATGCTGTCCTGTTCTGAAGACATCATCATCACCCAGCTCATTTACTCCACATTCAATTCTGTCTTCATGATTGGCACCTTTCTCTTTATTCCTTTGTTCCTATGCTCTGGTGATTCTGGCTATAATACGGATGCCTTCAGAGGCTGGCAAACGAAAAGCTTTCTCCACTTGTGCCTCTCATTTGGCAGTTGTCACCTTATTTTATGGCTCTATCCTGGTGATGTATGTTAGTCCTGGATCAGCACACCCAGTAAAAATGAAAAAATCATTACCTTGTTCTATTCTGTGATAACACCACTCTGTAATCCTCTAATATATAGTCTCAGGAACAAAGAGATGAAAGATTATCTGAGGAAAATCTTCAGGACTGGAAAAGATGTTAATAAAATATAAATAAGAGAATTTTCATTTATCAAATTAACTTTATTATACATGAATATTTGTCTACAAATTTATTGTTTTATTTAAGAACTGCTATAATAATGAGCCATTAACATCTTAAACACCACTCACCACAATCTGCATTACTGTGGTCTTATTTAAGAATGTTTCAACAGTGAATTAGATTTTCTGTTGAAGTGAATAATACGTATGTAAAATTCTATGTCTATGCTAATCAGAACGTGTATATGTAACTCAACTTTTTAAAAAGAATGCAGACGTCCTTTTTGTATTACTGAGCTAAAGCAATTGGTAACACATGTGACAGATATCATAGACTGCTCTCACAATTAACACTATAATCCAATCATTATCCACTAAGAGATACTGGCTGAAAAAGAGCCAAGTTTTAAGTAGTCCAGCTTGTCAAAATGTAGCAAGTGGTCTTTACATTATATAAATAGACTAATAGCCTTAGTTTGATATTCAGTGTTTTTTCAGAGAGTACACAACCAAGAATTAGGAATTTAAAGCAGATTCGTTACCTGGAATATAGTGCAGCAAAGACCTAAACAAAAAGGTGAGCATTACTCAGGATATAGCTTTCTTTGTTGTAAACCCAGTTTAAACACAGGATTTGATACCATAACTAATTTAGTATTAATACTGTGTGACTTATTTGAGTACTGCTGGACAGTACTAAAATAAAACTCTTAAAATCCATTTTATAAAATATTTGACTAATATCTTGCTTTAATTTTGACTTTTGTTTCGTTCTATGCCATTTTTTCAAATACAACTCTCAAAAACTTAATGAAAAGGAATCACAATATGAAATGTAGTTTACAGAGTTTTAATTTGTAAGCCATCATAGCTATTTGCTCCACAAAATGAGGTGCAACTGCAATTAGTTTTTGTGTCACAAGGAAGCTGAGTTGAGAATATTTTCTGGGTTTGAAAGGCAGGATTTATATGAGTTCTGGGGAAAAGAGTGGTTGTTTTATTATACCTCACATGTGAAATGTAAATTAAATAGCTAAATACTTGCCTGAAAGCCTCTTTTATATAGGAAGAAAATACAAACAATTTAGAACTTCATTCAAACTGACTTCAACGGTGGGATCTCTTTAAAGTGCTGATAAATTTAACACTGAGTTTCACCTGTCCATGCCAGTTTTGTTTATATTTCTTAATTATATGAGAAAAAATGATAGAAATTCTTAATAAAATATAATCTCAACTGTTATAAATGTGCACAGTGCCCATATTTGTAATTATCTTCAAATTGATCATTAACCAATCTTATCTTACCAATATTAAATTCTATCTCATATTGAGCTTGCTGGCACTTGATAGAATGAATTGAAAACTATTAGATACAGTAAAAAGCATTTCCATAAGATACAAACATGCCTTCATTGTGACAATATCTCTTCCTCAGTTCATACCTATGGCTTCATGGTATTTCACACAACCAGCTAATAAATGAAGAAAGAGCCTCAGGCTTGGATCACAAATGGATTGTCTGAATCTACACTTAGACAAGATAAAAACTGACTAATGCTGCAGCTTAACGCCTCTCCAGGGTAGCCATAGAATGTAGTGGTGGAGGAAATCCTCGTAAGCCAATGATTCGGTAGCAATATACTTAGTTGTCCACTTTGAATGTTGGGAGAAATAGCTTGCTATGCAAGATAAGGATATGTGTAGTATAATGATTGTTGTAAAAAAGTTTCACTAAGCAAACCCCCTCAAAATACAGAAAAATCAGATTTAATGAAATTTGAGGTGGAGGCCTATGTATGGGCCTATGAGAATAAGCACAAAGTATGCAGATCTTTGTTTCTCAACTCTGTGCCCATTAGAGAGTATCCTCCAGAGTGGAGGCACTCAATAGCTAAGTGAAAAGAATGAGTCATCTAAAAATGTCAGTCAGCTCTGATTTCATTCACCTCAGAGCTTATAAAAGGGAATATAAAGAAAGCTGTATAAATGGAAAATATGCACGTGCCAAAAAATACAGGCATTATCTTACCAAGGTTGGTGACAAATCACTGAGCCACTGAAGATGCAGCCTCGATGAGAAACCAATGTTAAGCCCTCAATATGGCACCAATCTTTGAGAAAACCAGCCAGCAATGGGTGGCAAATTGATTACATCAAATTCCTTTTACTTTGGAGGGTGCCAAGTGACATGAAAGAGTATAGTCAACCTCTACTTCTTCATTTCATATTCACTCCCCAACCCCCTGTGATCTTGCTTTCTATCTCCTCTGCTCAACTAAAACTTCTTTTCATCATGTTTCTGTAGAGGATTAACAATAATCATCATATGGGTATTTTATCTTAGGTACAAGAAAGTATAGTAACTCAAATAGATTTTCCAATCTACCATTATTTTCATTAGTCAACATTATCTTAGCCAGAGAAGATGTGAACTCTACATTTTGTAATTCTACATTGTTTGAGTTTGAAAACCTTTGCTATAGCCTGGGAATAAGTTGTTTTTGGATCAGTTGCAGCCTCTTATGAACAAGATTAAAGATGAAAAAGTTGAAAAATGTGTATTACCCTATAATTGCAACTCAAAATCTAGCTTATTTTTCATGTTTCACATGAAAACAGATGTTTAACCTAGTAGTTCTCAACTTTAATATCCATATCAATCACCATCACGTATGGATCTTTTCAAAATGCAGATTCTCTATGACATCAGGAAGATTGAAGAATAGGAGGTCCCAGTTTTCCCTACCCTTCATAGAATGTTCAATTAACAACTGTACACAGACAAAAACTCCTATGTGAACACTTCAAAACTCAAGATTAAGCCTGAGAAACCTGTGTGAACTAAATAACCAAACAAAATGCCACATGAGAAGTGTAAAAAGAATAGCCTCACTCTGACCACATCACCTCTCCCTTTCTCCCAAGTCAGCACAACACCACTTAGAATTTTTCTAGGCCCACAGTTTCTACAGTAGGAAAAGAGAACTAGAGGTGGACATTCACGTTCCCTGTGTTCCAAGATACCTCCCCCAGGAAGCCAACTCTGGTCTCACCTTGCAAGGAGCATAGGGGTAATAGCATGGCTAGACTACCTGTGGTCAGGTAGAAACAGAGCAGGAAGGCAAAGCTCATAGTGACAAACATGCAGATCTTGGTGGTAGGTCTATGTAACCACCAGCAGTGGTATGTGATTAGGGGCATTAGCGAACAGTATTAACAAACCAACAAAGTCAAGCTGGTTGCCCCGGGAAATAGGAAGTTCTACCTGGCTTGAATCCCTAGACAATCAGCCTCCATGCCAGCCCCAGATCCTACCACAAAGCCTTGTCCAGAGGGGGAGATGACCACAGCATATTTTGGTAAAGTACAAGGGCTAGACCTGCCCCACTCAGAAGCCCAAACAGTGGTTTGGCTTAGTCTCAAAACCCACAACAGGGACCCAGCCAGGCAGGGAGATGCATACCACAGCCCATTATTAGCACAGTGTAGGGTCTAGAAATGCCTTACCTGGGGACTCTAACAGTGGTTCAACTCAGCCTCAAAATCATCCCCAAAGCCCACTCAGAGATGGAGATACTTGCCGCAGTGCATTTTGGCAAAGTGAAAGGGCTATATGCACCCCAACAAGGAATCCAAACAGTGGTTTGGCTCAAATCTCAAAGCCCACCCCAAGGTGCTACCCAGTCAGGAAGGCAAACATCAAATGTGCATTCCCACCAAGTGTAGTAGCTGTTCTCTCCATCCTGAGCAGTGTCCCCACTTAACTTTATGAGTAAGCCTGCAACCCCATACAACTCCAGAACTCAAATAGTGGTACCATCCAGCCAGGAAATACATCCTGTGGCCTGGCCCAGTCAGAGACAATCACCATCCGAGCAAGCAATTTTGTCTGATTGCATAGCTCATTTAGTGGTCATACCAAAAATCAGAGCCCAGCCAGTAGTCCCAACTGAACTCAGAGCAAAGACAAAAGCTGAGCCATCCGGAGAACCTGAAAGCAGAAAGCAAGCTCTACTTTCCCAGGGTTGGTACCAGTTGGCCAATCTAGAATGAAAGGCTAGACTAAATAATGAAAGTCTATCCCTGCCAACTAATACCTATAAAAAGAGGTAGCTACCTCCTCAAATGAACAGACAGCAGTGCAAGAACAAAAGGATTGTGAAGAATCGAGGAATGATGACACCTCCAAAATAAACTAATAAAACTCTTAACAATGGACCCTAAAGGAACGGAGATTTGCAAAATGACTGACAAAGAATTCTAAAAAGTCCAGGAGCTGGTTTTTTGAAAGGATCAACAAAATTGATAGACTGCTAGCAAGACCAATAAAGAAAAAAAGAGAGAAGAATCAAATAGACGCAATAAAAAATGATAAAGGGGATATCACCACCGATCCCACAGAAATACAAACTACCATCAGAGATTACTACAAACACCTCTATGCAAATAAACTAGAAAATCTAGAAGAAATGGATAAATTCCTCGACACATACACTCTCCCAAGACTAAAACAGGAAGAAGTTGAATCTTTGAATAGACCAATAACAGGAGCTGAAATTGTGGCAATAAGCAATAGCTTACCAACCAAAAAGAGTCCAGGACCAGATGGATTCACAGCCGAATTCTACCAGAGGTACAAGGAGGAACTGGTACCATTCCTACTGAAACTAGTCCAATCAATAGAAAAAGAGGGAATCCTCCCTAACTCATTTTATGAGGCCAGCATCATCCTGATACCAAAGCCAGGCAGAGACACAACCAAAAAAGAGAATTTTAGACCAATATCCTTGATGAACATTGAGGCAAAAATCCTCAATAAAATACTGGCAAACCGAATCCAGCAGCACATCAAAAAGCTTATCCACCATGATCAAGTGGGCTTCATCCCTGGGATGCAAGGCTGCTTCAGTATACGCAAATCAATAAATGTAATCCAGCATATAAACAGAACCAAAGACAAAAACCACATGATTATCTCAACAGATGCAGAAAAGGCCTTTGACAAAATTCAACAACCTTCATGCTAAAAACTCTCAATAAATTAGGTATTGATGGGACGTATCTCAAAATAGTAAGAGCTATCTATGACAAGCCCACAGCCAATATCATACTGAATGGGCAAAAACTGGAAGCATTCCCTTTGAAAACTGGCACAAGACAGGGATGCCCTGTCTCACCACTCCTATTCAACATAGTGTTGGAAGTTCTGGCCAGGGCAATTAGGCAGGAGAAGGAAATAAAGGGTATTCAATTAGGAAAAGAGGAAGTCAAATTGTCCCTGCTTGCAGACGACATGATTGTATATCTAGAAAACCCCATTGTCTCAGCCCAAAATCTCCTTAAGCTGACAAGCAACTTCAGCAAAGTCTCAGGAAACAAAATGAATGTACAAAAATCACAAGCATTCTTATACACGAATAACAGACAGAGAGCCAAATCATGAGTGAACTCCCATTCACAATTGCTTCAAAGAGAATAAAATACCTAGGAATCCACTTACAAGGGACATGAAGGACCTCTTCAAGGAGAACTACAAATCACTGCTCAATGAAATAAAGAGGATACAAACAAATGGAATAACATTCCATGCTCATGGGTAGGAAGAATCAATATTGTGAAAATGGCCATACTGCCCAAGGTAATTTATAGATTCAATGCTATCCCCATCAAGCTACCAATGACTTTCTTCACAGAATTGGAAAAAACTACTTTAAAGTTCATATGTAACCAAGAAAGAGCCCGCATTGCCAAGTCAATCCTAAGCCAAATGAACAAAGCTGGAGGCATCACACTACCTGACTTCAAACTATACTACAAGGCTACAGTAACCAAAACAGCATGGTACTGGTACCAAAACAGAGATATAGATCAATGGAACAGAACGGAGCCCTCAGAAATAATGCCGCATATCTACAACTATCTGATCTTTGACAAACCTGACAAAAACAAGCAATGGGGAAAGGATTCCCTATTTAATAAATGGTGCTGGGAAAACTGGCTAGCCATATGTAAAAAGCTGAAACTGGATCCCTTCCTTACACCTTATACAAAAATCAATTCAAGATGGATTAAAGACTTACATGTTAGACCTAAAACCATAAAAACCCTAGAAGAAAACCTAGGCATTACCATTCAGGACATAGGCATGGGCAAGGACTTCATGTCTAAAACACCAAAAGCAATGGCAACAAAAGCCAAAATTGACAAATGGGATCTAATTAAACTAAAGAGCTTCTGCTCAGCAAAAGAAACTACCATCAGAGTCAACAGGCTACCCACAAAATGGGAGAAAATTTTCACAACCTACTCATCTGACAAAGGGCTAATATCCAGAATCTACAATGAACTCAAACAAATTTACAAGAAAAAAACAAACAACCCCATCGAAATTGGGCAAAGGACATGAACAGACACTTCTCAAAAGAAGACATTTATGCAGCCAAAAAACACATGAAAAAATGCTCACCATCACTGGCCATCAGAGAAATGCAAATCAAAACCACAATGAGATATCATCTCACACCAGTTAGAATGGCGATCATTAAAAAGTCAGGAAACAACAGGTGCTGGAGAGGATGTGGAGAAACGAACACTTTTACACTGTTGGTGGGACTGTAACTAGTTCAACCATTGTGGAAGTCAGTGTGGCGATTCCTCAGGGATCTAGAACTAGAAATACCATTTGACCCAGCCATCCCATTACTGGGTATATACCCAAAGGACTATAAATCATGTTACTATAAAGACACATGCACAAGTACGTTTATTGCGGCACTATTCACAATAGCAAAGACTTGGAACCAACCCAAATGTCCAACAATGATAGACTGGATTAAGAAAATGTGGCACATATACACCATGGAATACTATGCAGCCATAAAAAATGATGAGTTCATGTCCTTTGTAGGGACATGGATGAAATTGGAAACCATCATTCTCAGTAAACTATCGCAAGAACAAAACACCAAACACCACATATTCTCACTCATAGGTGGGAACTGAACAATGAGAACATATGGACACAGGAAGGGAACATCACACTCTAGGTACTGTCGTGGGGTGGGGGGAGGGGGGAGCGACAGCACTGGGAGATATACCTAATGCTAGATGACGAGTTAGTGGGTGCAGCGCACCAGCATGGCACATGTATACATATGTAACTAACCTGCACATTGTGCACATGTACTCTAAAACTTAAAGTATAATAAAAAAAATTTAGTGAACTACAATAATATAAGGGTAGATAATTAAAAAAATTGAAAAATAATAAACAATATAACATGTTTGACAAATAGGAATAATAAAAATATAGAAATCTTAAAGAATAAAATGACTGAAATGAAAATGCAATAGAAAGCTCTAAGAACAGGCTCAATCAAGCAGAAGGGAAACAATCAATAAGCTAGAGACAAAACATTTAAAATAATTCAGTCAGAAGAGAAAAAATTAAGAAGATTGAAAAAGAATAAAGACAGACTCTGGATATGAAGGGAAACTATTAAGACCTAATATTCATCTAATAGGAGTTTTCAGAAAGAAAAGAAATAGAAAAGAGACCAGAAAGCATATCTGAAGAAGAAATTCTAAAGAACTACCAAATCTGGAGAAAGTTGCTAACATCTAAACACAGCAAATGCAGAGTTATCCAAACAAGTTTAAGCCAAATAGGAGTTATCCAAGATGTACAATAATTCAAATACCAAAAATTAAAGAAAAAGAAAACATTTTGAAAACAGCAAGTAATTAGAAGCATATCACATAGAAGGGAATATCAAAATAGCTGTCACTGGATTTCTCAACAAAATCTCAGGAGACCAGGAGAGAGTAGGATAATGTATTCAAAGTGCTGAAGGGAAAAAACAAGGCCAACAAGTCTACTTAACCCAGCAAAGTTGTCCTTGGCAAATGAGAGAAAAGCAAAAACTTTTCCAGACAAACAAAAGCTATGAGAGTTCATCACCACTAAATATGTCTTAAGAGAATTACTAAAGGAAGTTCTTTGAGCTGAATTAAAAGGCTGCTAATTAAAAATATAAAACATATGAGAACACAAATGCAATGGGATAAGAAATACAAAGTCATATCCAGAATATTCTAAGACTGTAATGATGATGTGTAAAGCAATTTTTTCCTATAGTACAATGGTTAAAAGACAAATCTATTAAAACACATAGAGCAAAAATAGTCAATGGATACACATAAGAAAATGATGTATATTTTGACATCAAAATCGTAAAATGTGGGAGAGGAGAAATAAAGTGTACGGTTGTTGTTGGCAAATAAAGCATACAGTTGTGATTGTTGTCAGCTTAGAATAGTATATCATATAAAAATAAAGACTAAAAACATCACCCAACACTACACAACTACATGGAAATTAAGTGACTTGCTCCTGAATGACTTCTGGGTGAACAATGAAATTAAGGCAGAAATCAAAAAAGTCTTTGAAATAACTGAAAACAGAGACACAATATGCCAAGATCTCTGGGATGCAGCAAAAGCAGTGTTAAGAGAAAAGTTTATAGCACCAAACAATTACCGCAGAAAGTTAGATATACCTCAAATTAATGACCTAGCATCCAACAGAATAGCTAGAAAAGCTAAAACAAAGCTAGCAGAAAAAAAAATAACTAAAACCAGAGCAGACCTGATTGAAATACACCAGAAAATTAATACCAAGAATCAATGAAACCAAAAGTTGATTCCTTAAAAGGATAAACAAGATTGATGGGCTGCCAGCTACAGTAACAGAGAGAGAGCGAGAGCAAGAGGAAGAGAGAGAGAAGATTCAAATAATCACATTAAGAAATGACAAAGGTGACATTACAGATGATCCGATAAATACAGAATATCCTCCAAGACTATTAGGAACACCTCTATGAACACAAACTACTAAATCTAGAGGAAATTGATCAATTTCTGGAAACAACCTCCCAAGATTGAATCTGGGAGAAATTAAAACCCTAAAAGACCAATATTAAGGTCCAAAATAGAAGCAGCAATAAAAATCTACCAACCAAAAAAGTCCTAGACCAGATGGTTTCACAGCCAAATTCTACCATGCATACAAAGAAGAGCTAGTATCAACTCTACTTAAACTATTCCCAAAAATGAGGAGAATGGACTCCCCCCTAACTCATTCTATGAAGCCAGCATCTCTTTGATACCAAAACCTGGCAAGTGAAAGTTTATAGCTACAAGTGCCTACACCAAAAAAGTAGAAAAATTTCAAATAACCTAGTGATGTATCTTTAAAAACTAAAAAAGCAAAAGCAAACAAACCCAAATTATTAGGAGAAAATAAATAATAAAGATCAGAGTAGTAATAAATGAAATGGAAACAAAGCATACAATACAGAAGATCAACAAAGTGAAAAGTTTGTTTTTTGAAAAGATGAACAAAATCAACAAAACTTTACCTAAGAGAAAAAGTGAAAAGACCCAAATAAATAAAATTAAGACATAAAACCAATACTGCAGAAATTAAAAGGATCACTTGCAACCATATGCCAATAAACCGGAAAATCCAGATAAAATAGATAAATTCTTAGATACATACAACCTATGAGGTTTGAGCCATGAAGAAATCCAAAACCTGAACAAACCAATAACAAGTAATGAGATCAAAGCCCTAATAAAAAGTCTCCCAGCGAAGAAAATCCCAGGACATGGTGGCTTCTCTGCTGAATTTTACCAAATATTATAGAGGAATTAATACCAACACTATTCAAACTATTCCAAAAAATATAGGAACACAGAATACATCCAAATTCATTCTATTAGGCCAGTATTACTCTGATATAAAACCAGAAAGAGACATATCAACAAAAGAAAACTACAGACCAATATCCCTGATGAACACTGCTGCAAAAATCCTCAACAAAATACTAACAAACTAAATCCAACAGCACATTAAAAATTTAATTCACCATGATCGATTGAGTTTTATTCTAGAAATGCTAGGATGATTCAACATATGCAAATCAATAAATGTGATTCATCACATAAAGTTAAAAACAAAAACCATAGGATCATTTCAATTGATGTTGAAAAGACAATCATAAAATAGGAGAAAATATTTGTAAACTATCCATCTGGCAAGGGATTAATAACCAGAATATATAAGGAACTCAAACAACTCTATAGGAAAATTCTGATCATCCAATTTAAAAATGGGCAAAAGATCTTGCTCAGAAGAAGACACATAAATGGCAAACAGGCATGTGAAAAAGTGCTCAGCATCATTGCTCATCAGGGAAATGCAAACCAAAACTACAAGACGAATCATCTAACCCTAGTTAAAATGGCTTATATCCAAAAGACAGGCAGTAAGAAATAGTGGCTAGGATATGGAGAAAAGGGAACCCACTATTGGTGGGAATGTAAATTAGTACAATCACTATGGAGAACAGTTTGGAGGTTTCTCAAAAAAAACAAAAATAGAGCTACCATATGACCCAGCAATGCCATTGGTAGGTATATACACAAAAGAAAGGAAATCAGGATATCTGAGAGATACCTGCACTCCCATGCATATTGCAACACTATTCACAATAGTCATGATTTGGAAGCAACCTGTTTGTCCATGAACAGATGAATAAAGAAAATGTGGTTAATGTACACAATCGAGTAATATACAGCCATGAAAAAGAATGAGATCCTGTTATTTGCAACAACATGGATAGAACTGGAGGTTATTACGTTAAATAAAATAAGCCAGGGACAGAAAGACAAATTTTCCATGTTCTCACTTATTTGTGGGAGCTAAAACTTAAAATAACTGGATTTATGGAGATAGAGAATACAGTAATGGTTACCAGAGACTAGGAAGAATAGTAGGGTTAAGGGGAGGAATGGATAATCGGCATAAAAATACAGTTAGATAGAATAAGTAAGATCTAGTATTTGATAGAACAACAAGGTGACTATAGCCAAACAATTTATAGTACATTTAAAAATAACTAAAAGAGCATAATTGCATTGTTTGTAACACAAAGAAAGGGTAAATGTTTGAAGTGATGAATATCCCATTTACCGCGATGTAATTATTATACACCGTATGCCTGTAGAAAAATATCTCATGTACCCCATAAACATATACAGTCACTGTGTACCCATAAAAATTTAAAAAGGAAAATATAAAATAAACAACCTGATATTACAACTCTAGTAACTAATAAAAAAAGAACAAACTAAACCCAAAGTCAGCAGAAGGAAGGAAATAACAAGGATCTGAATAGAAATAAACAAAATAGAGACTAAAACTACAATAGAAAAGAACTCAATGTAATAAAGAGTGTTTTTTCAGAAGGATAAACAAATCAACAAACCTTTAGCCAGACCAAGGAAAAAAAAGAAAGGACTCAAATATTAATACAATCAAAAGTGAAAAGGGAGACATTACAACTGATACCATAGAAATATAAAAGCTCATAAGAAAAAAAAGCTCATAAGAGAGTACTATGAAAAATTGTACAGTAACAAATTGAATAAAGTATAAGAAATAAATAAATTCCAAGATACATGCAAGATACCAAGACTGAATCATGAAGAAAAAGTATGAACAGACCAAAAATGAGTAAGAAGATTGAATTGTAATAAAGTCTCCCATCAAAGAGAAGCCCAGAATAGCTTTACTGTTGTATTCTACCAAACACTGAAATAATTAGCAATCCTTAAACTCTTCCAAAAAAAATCTAAGAGGAAGGAATACTTCACTTACAAACTTTTTTTACGTGGCCAACATTACTCTGACACCAAAGCCAGACAAGAACAAGAAAAAGAAAAGAAAAGAAAAGAAAAATTATAGGCCAATATCCCTGATGAACATAGATGAAAGAATCCTCAATCAAATACTAGCACACTGAATTCAACAGCACGTTAAAAAGATAACTTACCATGCTCAAGTGGATTTACCCCAAGGATACAAGGTGGATCAACATACATACATCTATAAATGTGATATACATTAACAAAATGAAGCCCAAAATTATATAATCATCTAATTAGATGCAGAAATAGCATTTGAAAAATTCAACATTGTTTCATGAAAAGATTCTCAACAGAGTTGGTTTAGAAGAAATATACTTCAACATAATAAAGACCATGTATTACAAGCCTACAGCTCACATTATATTCAACGCACCCTCCAAATCTCAGGCTGAATTGTGATCCCCAGTGTCAGAGGGGGTGCCTGGTGGGAGGTGTCTGTGTTATGGAGGTGAATCCCTCATGGGATGGTGATGGTATCCAACCCAACCCTCAGGAATGGGTTTGCATTTTACCCATAGTAGAGTTACCATCAGATCTGATGGTTAAAAAGAGTATGGGACAACCCCCTCCCCACCTAGCTCCCTTTCTTGCCATGTGACACAACTGCTCCCTCTTTGCTTTCTTCAATGAGTAGAAGTTTCCTTAGGCTTCAGAAGCTAAGCAGATGCTGATGCCATGCTTGTATTGACTGCAGGACCATGAGCCAAATAAACCTCTTTTCTTTATAAATTACTCAGTCTCAGGTATTCCTTTATAGCAACGTAAAATGGACTAACACAAATGTTATTGGTGATTTATGCAATGGCCATTTTAAGGGTGTGGTGGGGGGAAGCCATATTTAAATATATTGGAGGTGAGAAAGACATGAGGAAAAGATGAAGATTCCTTACTGTCTCTCAAGTATGGCAGGCATGCTCCTGCCTTGTGGTCCCTATACATGTCATCTCCTTTGCCTGGAATGCTCTTTTCCCAGATATTTATATTTCTTTCCCTAACACTCCCTTCAAATCTTTGACCAAATATCACCTTTTCGGTGAGGCCTTTCCTGACTAGCTATTGAAAATTCCACTCAGGGGAATTGAGAGATATTGGTCAAAAGGTACAATGTTTCAGCTAAACAGAATGAATAAGTTTTGGAGATCTACTGTACAGCATAGTGACTGTAGTTAACAGTCATGTGTTATACCATTGTCCCTAAATATCTGCAATATCAGGGGGGCGATTCGTTCCAGGACTCCCCAAGGACACCAAAATCCTGGGATGTTCAAGTCCCTTATATAAAATGATATCATTTTATATTTGCATGTAACCTACGCATATTTTTCCATACACTTTAAATCATCTATAGATTACTTATAATACTAATAAAATATAAATGTTTTATAAGTAGTTGTTATACTGCATTTTTTTATTTTTATTGCTTTTACTGTATTTTTTGTGGGTTTTTTGTACAAATAGTTTCTATCCAGTTGGTTGAATGCCTGAATGTGGAACTCATGGAAACATAGGGCCAAAAGTATACTTGAAATTTTTAGAAGAGATTTTAAATGTTCTCACACAATAAAATGAAAGTATGTAGAAGTGATAAATGTTAATTAGTTTGAATTAATCATTTCACCATGTATACATATCAAAAAATCATCTTGTATGCCACAAATGCATAGTTTTTTAATAAAAAATATCCAATCACCTATTATAAGGCAAGCGCATATTGAACAAGTGCCAAGTGAGCCTCATATACTGGATAATGATTCCATGGAAAGTAGCCTTGCTTAACTGGGAAAAGACCCAAGTGACAGAGTAGCTCCCTATGGAAAATCGTAACTGGTTTAAATGACAGCTTAAACTCCAGAATGTCTCACCAAACAGTCAAATGCTAGTTCTGTGAATTGTTTTTTCTTCTCATGTGAATCTGTATACTGTTTTTGTCAATTACATCTTAGTAAGGCTGGGGGTAAAATGCACCTCTGCCAGCTCCCACACACACTCCCTATTGACCTGACGTTTCTAATTTTTCTCCACGTTTCCTCATCACTCCCTAATATACTATAGTTTACTTATTTATTTAACACCTGTTGTCTCCCTTTGGAATATAAGTTCCACATAGGAATTTTTGTACATTTTGTTCACTGCTATGTGCATGAGCATTTAGAGTAGTCCCTGGAACATTCACAATCAATTATTATTATTGAATTAACTAATCAGTTTTTAATATTAAAATATAAATATAAATAATATAAACATGTATAGTAAATTTTACACTTAATTACAAACATTATGAATATAAGTGTGATGAAAGGAAAAATTTTAAATGTTAAATGGTTATGTTGTATTCTCATGCATATGTATGTTTTCTCAAATTTTTCTATAATAAACTTGTAGTTACTCTTGTAAAATATCAAAAGTGAGCATTTGTTAAAATAAACTCATGTAAATAAATTTCATGCTTTCTGAAATGGCCATTTCAGAGATGTAGCGTAGGTGAAGAAGAGATGAGGACTCCCTGCCGTCTCAATCATGCCAGGCGTGCTCCTGCTTCGTGGCACCTACACATGCCATCTCCTCTGCCTGGAACCCTCTTTCCCCAGATGTTTATATTTGTTGCCTCCACACTTCCTTCAAGTCTTTATCCAAATATCACCTTTATGAGATTTCTGAATTTTTTATTCATCTATAACATGCAAAAAGTACAGTGCACAAATCCTAAGTATATTGCTCAATGAATTGTTATCAACTGATACTCCTGTGTAAAGGTACCTAGTTCCAGAAACTGAATGTTATCAGCATCCCAAAATCCCAACCTTTTCATTGAGGCTTTCCCTAACTACCTATTGAAAATTGTGCCCAGGGGATATGGGGAGACATTTGTCAAAGGGTACAATGTTTCAGCTAAAAGGGATGAATAAGTTCTGGATATCTACTGTACACCATTAACCTTAAGAGAGATCTCAAAAAGGAAAAGAACTCACAAAAAAAAATTGCTGTAAAGGATACACATGAAAGGCACAGAAGGGAAGTGGAGGGAGTGCAGAGAACTGTGGGCTGAGTCTGAGCCTCAAGGCTTTTTCAGCATAAAATGCCACAAAGACTGTTGATAAGCAAGCCTGTCCCCCATTTACTAAACTTAGGCAATTAAAATTTTATCACTACCCAATGTATCAAAATTTTATCACTACCCAACACTGATTTAAGGACTCAACACTCTGACTTGAGAAAACCTGAAGTACAAAAAGTTACCACAAAGGTGGGTGAGACTCTCTGAGGAGCTCAAATATATGTCTTCAATGTGTTCTAATTGCAAATTACTTACAATTTGGCACAACATATTGGGAGAGGAGTAGTGGAGTGGTAAAAATCAAACCTAACTTCAAAATATTGTAAATTATGGCTCTAAGATCATTCTTAATGACCCAATATGTGCAGTGAGGCTCTTCTCTTCCTCCTCCATGTTACAGTTGAGAACACGAAAGACTAAGCCATTCACATTACCCCAGGGAAGGCAGAGGGAAAGGGCAGTCCAGGTGTCCTGAACTGTACTGCTCGCAGGGGAGGCCTGGCCCACCACTAAGTCTGGATACTTCCAAACCTATCCTTACATGAAAACAATATCTGCGGACCATTTCATTCCAATTGGTTTTGGGTCCTAGTTTCTGCCCAGTGGTCAAATCCAGAAACCCAATCAGGACCTAGTTTCAATGAGTGGCTCTGAGCTTAGCTAATTAATGGCTTCCTGTCCCAAGAAAGGTTTCTTGTTTTTGTTTGTTTAATTAATTGTTTGCTATTGCACTAAAATACTTTGTCTTACCTGACAATAGTGAGCTCAGGATTATCTTGGCACATTTGGTTATGTGGTTTGAGCCCTCCCAGAGTGTTACTGTCTACTAGTTACCCATTAAAGTTTAATAAGGCAGAAGACAATGAGCTTGCTAGAGATGTCACAGAGCCTTTGTTGCCATGGCAATAATTGTTGGACCAGATCACAGAGAAGTATGTAAGAGACAAGAAAGAGAGAACTGCAGGAAAAGCTGAAGCATAATAGTTTTTTAAAATAGTCTCTAAACTTATAGTGGAGTAATGTGTTTAAACTTGTGGGGAAAACTACTTTACGAGAAAGGCTGATTTTCCAACATCCTCTTAAGGAGATATGGTTTTGGTTTTATGGAAGAATGGTTTCTAAGCTACATTTCTTCTTCTTTTTTTTTTTTTTTTTTTTTTTTTTGAGACGGAGTCTTGCACTGTCACCCAGGCTGGAGTGCAGTGGCGCGACTTCGGCTCATTGCAACCTCCACCTCCCAGGTTCAAACGACTCTCCTTGCCTCAGAATCCCAAGTAGCTGGGATTACAGGTGCCTGCCACGATGCCTGGCTGTTTTTTTTTTTTCTATTTTTAGTAGAGATAGGGTTTCACTATGTTGGCCAGGCTGGTCTTGAACTCCTGACCTCATGATCCACCCGCCTTGGCCTCCCAAAGTGCTGGGATTACAGGTGTGAGCCACTGTGCTCTGCCTACATTTCATCTTAAAGTAAAAGTAAACGAATTGGGATTAATTTGGAAGCACACTGACTATTATAATACCAAGAACTTCATATGAAGGCAGATAGCCATTAAAATGGCAGAAATTCAACAAGATTTTTAATAGATGATTGGGTCAGTGAGAAATAGTTTTGATGTGCAATATGAAACCCCAAATATTCCAGGGGCTCCTGCAAAGTGTAAACTTGGAGTTTCCTTGACTTAGAAGTGAAAGAACAGCAGGATTGGAGGTGGGTGAAAGAAAGAACCTAGTGATCTAGGTAATGTCACTTTGGATAACATTTGCTCTAAATTGCTCCCAGCATCAGAGTAGAGCTTGGGAGGAGTGAGTCTGTATTTCAAAGCCCAGGGTTTCAGTCAGTGTGAATGAGACAGTGAGGATTATCCTGCCCTCTTGTGCTTCTGAGCCAACATACCAGGGCTTGAAGAGGAGTGGAAGGAAATGAAGAAGTCACAGAATGCCTGACTGAAGAAGCAAAGTGCAGAAACACATCGCCTCCCTCCCTCCCTATAGAAGTCAAACTCCCCCGAGACTGCTCATCACTATCAGCATGGGATGGCAGTATATTTACTTAATTAGCTAAAAGTGAATAGAGCTTAAAGTTTAGCCCTTAGGTGGGATTTTGCCGACATAGACTTCCTAGGACTTTTGTCCTATCAGAGTGGCCTGTTGTACTGTGAGCTTCTTGTGTCAAAGGTTAATTAATCTTGTCTATCCAGAGTCTAATGTTCAAATGCATGTTCATTTAATCAGGCTGTTTATAAAGTAAGTGGTTTAGTGACAAGATTATTTAAGAAAAAGTCCCCAAAAATATACTGTTGACCAGAGTAAATTAAAGGTGTAAACATTTAATAATGCCTAGAAGCCCTAATCAGAATAGATATAATTTTTACCATTCTAATCTTTTGAAAGAAACATCACAACTAGAAATGAAAAAGGTCATGTTACCACTGACCCCACAGAAATAAAAAATAACCATCAGAAACTACTACAACCACCTCTATGCACACAAACTAGAAAACCTGTAAGAGATGGGTAAATTCCTGGACACACCAATAACCTGCTCCAAAATTGCATCAGTAATAAATAGCCTACCAACCAAAATATATATATATTTTAAAAAGCTCAGGACTAGATGGATTCACAGCCAAATTCTACCAGATATGCAAAGAAGAGCCAGTACCATTTTTGCTGAAATGATTCCAAAAAACTGAGAACTGTCCAACTCATTCTATGAGGCCAGCATCATCCTGATACCAAAACCTGGTAGAGACACAACAACAAGAAAAAACTTCAAGCCAATATCATGGATGAACATTGATATAGGGCAGCTTATGATTAGTATCATGACAAAGACACAAAGATGGTAAAATAAAAATTCAAGGATGGGGCCAGGCATGGTAGCTCACACCTGTAATCCCAGCACTTTGGGAGGCTGAGGCAAGTGGATCACAAGGTCAAGAGATAGAGACCATCCTGGCCAACATTGTGAAACCCTGTCTCCACTAAAAATACAAAAATTAGCTGGGCATGGTGGCGTGCACCTGTAGTCCCAGCTACTCAGGAGGCTGAAGCAGGAGAATTGTTTGAACCCAGGAGGCGGAGGTTGCAGTGAGCTGAGATCACACCACTGCATTCCAGCCTGGGGACAGAACGAGACTATGTCTCAAAAAAAAAAAAAAAATGCAAGGATGGAAAAGGTGCTTTGCTTAGGGGAAGAGGGGAAAACATTCTGGGGGGAAAAATGTCTTTTGAACTGGATCTTGAAGGAGGGTTTTTACAGGTGTAGGTGGAGATAAATAGAATTCCAAACACAGAAAATGATCACAAAAAAGAGAACATAGGAAACTGAACCTATTCAGAGAATGAAATGCTGTCTACTGTCTAATTTATCTGTAAAAGAGAGTAGGGAAA
Organism: Homo sapiens; assembly: GCF_000001405.40. NCBI lineage: Eukaryota > Metazoa > Chordata > Mammalia > Primates > Hominidae > Homo > Homo sapiens. The sequence goes on along the minus strand of NT_187382.1, from coordinate 304,457 downwards.
GATAACACCAGGAAAGTAATTTGAAGTCAATTTGTGGAGAACTTGGGAACTTGAAATCATTGATGGCTTTTGGAGCAGACAACAAGATCAAAGCTATGTTTTAGGAGTTTCTAAGTATTATGATTAAGTGATAATAAAGGTCTGAATAAACATTTTCCTCCATAGTCTTTCAAAGTGGAAGTGTGCTTTTAGACAGATGTCTGTAGTCCTAGGGCATACATCCCTGATGTCCTCAACTACTTCACAGCACTTGGTATGAGCATTCACTCACACATGAGTGTTTAGCTACACTATATTGGCCCCTAAATGCCATAAAGTAAAAATAGAAGGGACACAAATAAAAGTCAATACTTCTTTCATGTTAATTGGGAAGTCACATGTTCCTCTCAAGTATTTCTGTCAATTAACTTAAATGTTGCTACTTCTTATACTTTTTTCTCATATCTAAAGGAATCTGCCAAAAAAGTGCCATCCTTCTAAAAGTTATTTCTAAATTCTGTAAGTTTTTGCTCAATATGTGACAATGTTGGAACATCAGTATTTTCCTCACTGGGCTGTATATCCTCCAACATATGCACAGTAACACTTGAAATGTTCCTAAACATTATGTCAGAACTTTTGGTAACATTTTGTATCTTATTTCTCCTCAGACTGTGTCTTCTGGAAGATTTTTTGGAATCCGTCTGGTGGGCAAGCTCTTTGTAAATAATGATGTCTTAGAATAGTTGTCATTACTCTTTACTGATTCTTCAGAGAATATCTAATCATTAACTTTTTAAAGATTCATTGGCTTGGAAGATAACTTTCCTAATGCTATAGAAGCTACATCCCAGGAGAAAGTGAGTTTTATAAAGTGCATTTTTAATTTTGGGGCCACAATAAAACTGTCTAGCTGGAGGCAGAATATGGTTTATAAAATAAATCATTTAGAGATTTGGTTCATGTCAAAACGATGATGGCTTCACCTTTTGAGCACTGCTGAGAATCATGACACTCCCATGTCAATCCGTTTCCATAATTTCCTAATGTTGGTTTATTAATGTTTCTGGTTGGAAGCCAATTAAAGAGGCATCTATTACTAAAAGAGGCACAAACATAACTTCTAACTAGTCATACCAAAAGAATTCCTAGAGCACTGGTGTAGAGATCAAATTGGAAGAAAAACTTCTGAAAATTTGTGTTTCTTCTCAAAATGCAAGCCCTCTTGACATCTAGAACTCACATCCCTCCATATTTCTGAGGAAAAAAAAGTTTTTTCAGGTAACTCAAATCCCTAAATACATTTTTAGAAGAATGTAGGAGGAAGTTTACCTATAACAAAAAAAAGTGTTTAATTTCTGTCATTTAGTAAAATTTTTCAATTTTATAAAAAGCATATAAGGAAAATCAATCTCCAAATTTTATGAAATACCTTCAAAAATAAAGTTTAATGTCTAGATCTTTGCAAACTTTTGTACATAATGACTAAATCAATACTGTATTGATTTTATCAATATAATAATCACTGTATCAGTTTATGAAATTAAGGTAAAAGATTAATCAGAAACTTAAAGCCTTCCCTTTCTACAGAAAACAATGCAGCTTTACAATATTAATATTAAAAGTCAATATTGGTAAGCAACATTAGATAATCACTTAAGCTAACAACAGCAGCAATAGAAATTCAGAGATAATGGCTTTAACGTGATAGCTACCAATTTATTTTAAAATATGTGCATTTCTTTTGCATATGTAAATAATGTTAAGTAATATGTTTAGCTGAAATGTAAATGGTCAAAACTTTCCTTGCTGAGTCTATTGCACTATAAGTTGGGTTTGCAGTAAGAAACTAACACATTTGTGCCTTCTCAAAGTACTAACTTTGGGTTGTATGCTATCCAGAAACTATATTAAATCATTTCTGTCCCAAAATAATGACCTTACAAAAGGAATTTAACTTTACCTAGTTCTATCACGATTGCATATTAAGGAGAGATTTAGAAGCTGGCAGAAGTTTTTGTTCAATCAGCTACCTACTAAGCCCAAAACTCATATACTGTATAGCCAAGAAAAAGTAAACTATATTCTCTTCCTAATTATTCTTTTGAAAAATGACTTCATGTTCATTGTCTTCTCTTCATTCTTAAAAAAGGAACTCATTTTGTAAAAGAGTCCTGACTGATAATGTGTCTCTTGACCTTGCAGGTCACTGGCCCAATGAATGTCTCTGAGCCAAATTCCAGCTTTGCTTTAGTAAATGAATTTATACTCCAAGATTTATCTTTTGAGTGGACAATTCAGATCTTCCTCTTCTCACTCTTCACTACAACATATGCACTGACCATAACAGGAAACGGAGCCATTGCTTGCGCCCTGTGGTGTGACCGGCGACGTCACACTCCCATGTACATGTTCCTGGGAAATTTCTCCTTTTTAGAGATATGGTATGTCTCTTCTACAGTTCCCAAGATGTTGGTCAACTTCCTTTCAGAGAAAAAAACCATCTCCTTTGCTGGATGTTTTCTCCAATTTTATTTCTTCTTCTCTTTGGTACATCTGAATGCTTGATTTTGACTGTGATGGCCTTTGATCAGTACCTTGTTATCTGCCATCCCTTGCACTATCCTAATAAATCATGACTGGGCATCTCTGTGCCAAACTGGTCATACTGTGCTGGGTTTGTGGATTTCTGTGTTTCCTGATCCCCACTGTTCTCATCTCTCAGATGCCCTTCTGTGGTCCAAACATTAATGACCATGTTGTGTGTGACCCAGGGCCACTATTTGCATTGGCTTGTGTCTCTGCCCCAAGAATCCAACTGTTTTGCTACACTCTAAGCTCATTAGTTATTTTTGGTAACTTCCTCTTTATTATTGGATCCTATACTCTTGTCCTGAAAGCTGTGTTGGGTATGCCTTCGAGCACTGGGAAACATAAAGCCTTCTCTACCTGTGGGTCTCATTTGGCTGTGGTATCACTGTTCTATGGCTCTCTTATGGTCATGTGTGTGAGTCCAGGACTTGGACACTCTATGGGGATGCAGAAAATCAAAACTTTGTTCTATGCTATGGTGACCCCACTCTTCAATCCCCTTATCTATAGCCTCCAGAATAAGGAGATAAAGGCAGCCCTGAGGAAAGTTCTGGGGAGTTCCAACATAATCTAAGCCATATTAGATTATTCCTCCATGATCAGATCAGTACAGTCTAACAAAGAGAAATCAGAATTATATAGTTATTTAAATCTAAAAAATATGGATCTAGTGATATTGACTATATCAGCCTATGAAATTAAACACCTGTTGGGCCCCTTACAAATTAAAGTTGCCAAATTATATAGATAAATGGAAGCGTGTGGCTTCCCTTTGGCACCTAGACTGAGTATTAACTGAGGAATGTACATATTTGGGTGTTTTCTGGATAGTTTCCATCTGATTCATCTGTAATAAAAATTCTTTAAGTTCTATTTGACTTAAATTTATTGTTCTGACATTGACAAAATTACATCTATGTTATTTTGTTTGGTTGGTTGTAAATAAAAGAAGAAAAAACATATTTTCTGATTGTGATTCCTATCATATTTGGCTTTATTATTTGGTGACATGGTCATTTCTAATAAATAAGCCCTTATAAGCAATTTATCAACATTTTTGTGGGACAATAAAATATTCTAGCCTAATGACATCCAAACATTACTTCCTTCTGAGCCCCTAAAGGGCAGATTCTAATTCCATCTATAGTAATATCAGTCAAAATATTCACAAATGCATTCTTCTAAATGCCTAATATTTTTACCTAAATAAGGTATCACCAAAAACGTGATGGGTCAATTTATTGAGTTTTAGATAATAGAATATCTCCCCCTAAAAATTGGACAGGGCAATGGTGTACTTGTAGATACACTGCTTAAGTTCAAAAAATAAAATCAATGGCAGTTCATTGTCATTTGTTGCTAAAAGAATGTGAAAATAACATGAAGGAAAATTTTTAAAGGAAAAAAGCATTTATAGTTCAATTGCTCTAATGTATCTATTTTTGTTAATATGTCTGTTTCATGTGATTTAATGTTGAACTTGCTCCCATTTATAGCAAGTTTTCATAATTATCATCCTTAGAAAGCATAATATTTTATTGAACTAACATGCCATGAATTGTGAATTTTTATGTGGGGAGATGAACATTGTCCTAGACGAAGGGCCTTCTTTCCAAGAAGCTAAGAGCTGACTAGTAAAAGGGAATTTTCAGAAGGGATATTAGGAGAAAAATGAATGCCTCTACTACACAAGAATGACTTCTCACAGAATTTGTACTGTGGCATTCTGGGGTAAGGTTACTGAACACTCCAACACCTTCCTTCCTTCTACCACCAATTTTTTTGATGAACATTACAGTTATCCCATTTTTTGTTATAAAATAATATCTCAATAAAATCTCCATAAAGATTTGCCTTGATAATATTTTGCAAACCTGAATTAGGAC